>NC_000015.10:91592793-91744308 GCF_000001405.40 Homo sapiens
TTTTGCCTATTTTAGAACTTCGTGTAAAGGCAACCATAAAGTATGTGCCTCTATTTTGTAAAGTTTCTTTCATTCAGCATGTTTGGAGATTCATCCATGACATTGTAGGTGTCAATAGTTTGTTCCTTTTTATTGCTGCATGGTAGTCCATTGCATAAATACCTGATGCATTTTTTAATTCATTCCCCTGTGGATGGACAAGTTGGGCTAATTCCAGTTTGGGGCTGTTATGAATAAAATTGCTATGAATAGTTTTGATGTCTTTTTGTAGAATGCCTGGGTTGAATGGAGGTATATGTTTAGCTTAATAAGAAACTGCCTCAACATTTTCCTAAAGTGTATTATTACACACTGCTATCAAGAGCAAATGAAAGTTCCAGCTACTCCACATCTTTGTTTATATCTGATGTTGTTAGTTATTTTAATTTTAGCAGCTGTGATGAATGTGGGGTGGCATTTTATTGTGGTTTTAATTTGCATTTTTCTGATGAGCAATGATGACTAAGTTGTTTCAGATGTTTGTTGGCCATTTGTATGCCTCCCCTTGTGAAATGCTTGTTAAAATCTTAGGGCCATTTTTAGTCAATTGTTTGACATTTTATTATCTTGGCTTATAGTCTTTTATAAGATACATGTATTGTGGATATTTTCTCTCATTGCTATTCTTAATCAAATCTTTTGATGAGCAAGTTTAATTTTGATGAAGTCTCATTTATTAATTTTTTTCTTTTAAAATTATTGCTTTCTTTGTCCTAAGAAAGCTTTGCCTACCCCTGAGCCATAAAGGCATTTCTCTATATTTTCTACAAGCATTATAGTTTAGATTTACATTTAGGTTTCTGATGCATCACAAGTTAATTTTGATGTATGCATGAGATAGGAGTTGAGGTTAATTCGTTTCCCATAGGGATATCAATTATTTCACCACCATTTACTGAGAAGTTTTTTTTTTTTCCCCATTGGATTGCTTTGGTGCTTTTGCCAAAAATCAAATGATCATATCAGTTGTATTAGTGCAGGTCTCTTTCTCAGTTACACTTTCTGTTTCACTGACTTACTTGTCAAACTTTATGATACTGTCTTAATTACTGTGGCTTTGTAGTAACCCTTAAACTTAGGTAGTTTAAGTCCTCCAAATTTGTTCTTCAAATAGACATTGTAACCATATTCAGTCTTGCAATCCATGAACATAGCATATCTCTTCATTTTTTAGTGTTTTAAAATTTCTCTCAGTAATGTTTTCTGGTTTACAGTGTAGAGGTCTTACTGATGGCTAGTTAAATTTGTCCTAAGTATTTGATGCTTTTTGACAGTATTGTGATGAATTTTTAGCAATTTCATTTTCCAATTATTTGCTACTAGTACATAGATATACCACTGGACTTGGTGATTAACTTTGTATCCTGCAACCTTGTTAAATTAGCTTATTAATTCTAAAGTCTTTTATTCATGGAATTAAATTTATCAATCTTTTTCTTAATGGTTCCTCAGGCTTATGTGTTGCTTATAAAGGTCTGTGTTATCCCAAGACTAGGAAAATATGTTATCATTTAAAAAATATATTTTAACATTTAGATTTTCATTCTTTCTGGTATTCAGGTAAAAGTATGGTAAAGTAAGAACCTAGTATTATGCCAATCTAATAATTGGCATTGTTAATTGCTTCAGCACCATTTGTTCAATAGGTTATCCATCTTTGAATTGGGTTTAAATAGCCATCTTTATCTTATACTAAATTTCAAAGCAGACGTCGGTCTGCTTCTAGAGTTTGGAGTTTGGTCTAAAGAAGTTTTTACCAATAATTAAGATAGTTTTATTAATTATGGTAGTTTATTTTTAAAAATGTATTGGCTAATTCTGCACATTGACTCTTTCAGATAAACTGTAGAATTAAGTTCCATGAAATACCACATTGGGTTTCTTACTGGAATTGCACTTAATGTACAGATTCATTTGAGATAACTATACTTTTGAATGTTGAATATTCTCTCCAAAGATATAATTTGCATGTCTCTTTTTTAGATGTTGTTTTGTGACTTCAGTGGAACTTTATAATTTTCTTCACATAGGTCTATAATATTTTCCTCAAGCTTTTCATAAGTATTTTATAGTTGGTATCATCATGGAATCTTTTTATATTACACTTTCTAAATAATTATTGGAAAGCAATTTTTCACAATTTCTGTCTTCATTGATTTTACAATACAGCTGAATGTAATTGAATTAAAATTAAGAAAATATAATAAAATTTTTGAATAGGCTCCTCAGATAATTTCATAGATGAAGGAAGAGAGTCTACCAGATACCAATAAATTTCCTTGTATTTAAAGAACCGTCTTTATGAAGCAGCTTGAGATTCACCTACATTTGTATCTGCAGTTGAATAACATCCTGATATACACTAACAGTTGTAAACTTAAAGGACTTCTTTTCCCTTAAAAGCTTAGGGATCTGAAAAATGAACAACTGTGTATTCTCTATTACCTGTGTTCTTATCAAGAGAAAACAATGAACAACAGTTGTTTCATTTTGCCTTCTGCACTCTCATCCTTAGATTACTTTCGTGAATCTGTCCTGAAGATTATAAATTGAGTCCACCAGTTTATCAGGCCCGAAGGGTATTAGGCTTCGCCCGATACATCCTTACTCCATTTCTAGGAAGTAGCAACTTCATGTGGAGGAGTGAACAACAGAAGAGTTTAGAAAAATCCCAATGAGGATGTTGATCAGATCCCTTCTTGGGCACAAAGAAACAACACTGATTTGTAAATACTGTGTCCAAATTATAGAATGGTTAAATTTCTCCATTTCATATTAAGCCAAATACATTCTTTCCAGTGCTATCAAAAGGATGAATAGACAGGGAAATGTCCCACCTGCGCTCCTTTAAAAAAATGCACAACCACATTTGAATCCAGAAATGCCACCCAATTTTCTAAAGCATCTCACCAGGCAGCTTTTTATCCTGATAAAACTCAGTATAATAAGGCTAAATGGAATGTAGATGTCAGGAGAAAATGCTCCACCACTTCCTGCAGCCATTCAGCCATTCAGGTATTTATAAGACCTTTCCCCAAACCTTCCTAATGTGTCCTAAGCATTCATCTATTCAGTGGGAAGCTCTTGAACCCAACAGCCCAAAGTGGGTTTAAAAAAAAAAACAACAACTCATAAAGCTTTTCTGTGGCAGAAAAAGCAGATAATGTGGCTCACGATGATTGCCACTCTTTGCTTTCCTTATCCTGGGAGTGAGGGCTGCCCTAATTACAAATTTTGTGGTCAAAGTCAGACAGAGATTTTAAAACTTTTTCTTGATTTAATGTCCTGTAAAAATTGTCAGCTGGACATTTGTCTTTCTCTTTCATGTGTTATTCAGGGTTTATCAATATCATCATGAATGATTACCAGTTATTATAAATATGATTTTTGAGTTAAGACCTTTAATTTTTTAGTACATTTTCTGACATTCCTACTCACTAATGAGCCACCAGGTTAGCTCAACCTCCTGTTAATGGACCTGCAGTCATTGTCATACCTACCATGGACTGTGGTGTTCGCTTTCAATGTTTAACTGTGGCTCCCTTGATTTGTAACTGAAACCTAAAGAAATTCATTTTGTTCTCACTTATAAGTGAGAGTCAAATGATGAAAACTCATAAACACAAAGAGGGGAACAACAGACACTGGTGTTCTGAGGGTGGAGGGTGAGAGGAAGGAGGGGAGCAGAAAAAATAACTATTGGGGACTAGGCTTAATACCTGCGTGATGAAATGCTTTGTAACACAAACCCCCATGACTGTGAGTTTACCTATATAACAAACCTTACATGTACCTCCAAACCTAAAATAAAAGTTAGAAAAATAAATAAAATCATTATGACATAAAGAAATTTTTCAATGACCATTTAAAAAGCAACTCATTATTAAAGATGGAAAGGCTGGTTGTTGGCAGAATTTCAAAATGATTTTTAGAAAATGTATTAATATGGATAAATAAATAAATCCTCTCAGAGAGAAGAAATGCATTCTATATATATGTACTTCACCCTTACTATGTGTGAGGCAGTGGCCCTGTATTCAGGAAGCCCATTCTAATGGGGGCTGTGATCAGGTCAAAAGTGAATTATAGCACAATGAGGTAAGTGCTGCGGTGAAGGATGGTTTTCCTTGGAAACAGAATAAGTTTCAACTTACCGGTCCTGAGGGGTTACAGAGGGTTTCCTGGAGGAAGTTATTACCTGGCTGAGGCCTGAAGATTAGCACTGAAACCTTGGAGGAGTAGGAGTTGAGAAAAGCAGAGAGAAGGGAATGTGAGCAGACCCAGATGGAGACAAGAGCTTGCCTGGCACACATGGGGATAATCATGAAGGCCCCAGAATGGAGCAAATAGACATGAGGCTGGAGAAGTATGTATGAGCTAGATCATGGAGTACTTAGACAACACATGTGAAGGAATTCCTACCTTGAGGATAATGGGGAAGTACTAAAAGGCTTTACGCAGAGGACCAAATTTGGATTTCAGATCACTCTGGCTACAGCATGGAGAATGAATAGGCTAAGGGCTAATTAGGAAGCAGTATTTCAGTACTATCAGAGAGAGAGATGGTGATTTAGTAAAAGCTATGGTTGACAGGGATGATGAGCAGTAGATACTTTGAAAAATATGAAGAGGTAAAACCGACAGAAGTTGGGGGATATTGGCTATGGGGCAAGCTGGGAGAGCTATCAAGGGTGACACCCATGTGTCTAGCTTTGTGGAGATATGTTTTACTTAAGATCCCAGGGCAGATTTCTTAGAAGTAAAGCATTGTCTTCAGAGTCAGACCTATATATGCTCTTAGCTCTATCACTTGCTGGCACTGTGTGTACACATACTTTAAGTCATTCACGCCAGTAATCTTTTTTGTTGTCTTTCAATTTTTCCTACTCTACTCCTTTGCTTTCTACTCTACCTGCTTTCTTTAGATCACAAATTATTGAACTGCATGAAAGGATGGAATTTTGGATTCTTCCCTGGATGAGACTTGGTTAATCATTGTGTGGGCAAGTCTGTCCCTGCCTAATGCTCGCTCTGGGCTCAGGGAACACAGAACCTCATGGTCTCTCTAGACTTTCAACTTCTCTCTTTACTGAATGGAGAGATGGGGAAAGTTTTACTGTTAGAGTAGCTCTGTGCCTGCTTTGAAGGAGTCTTTTCTCATTCCTCTTATGTACAACTTGTTGTGGACATTATACAAGAACAAGATGGACTTCCACCCAAAATTTGGTTTAGATGTTAATACTGATGATACCACACATGCATTAAGAGGGGATAGAAAAGCTTATTACTAATATAATGAGCCTCTGGGGAGAGCCTGCCTCTCAAGCTGGGTTACAAATGGCTTTGAGAGAACAGGGAAGGGAAACAGGCTTGGGATTTTTATTGTGGTTAGGGGGTAGGGCTACAGTGAGGGGTCTCACTTGCAAGAAGGGGCTTTCATGCTCTTTTGGCACCTGCTCCCACAGGTGCCAAAGAAGGGAGTACTCAGCTTCCCAAGATGTGGAGCAGAAGAGGAAGAGGGAGGTGTAAGGAACTTATCAGCTTCCCAAGATGTGGAGCGGAAGAGGAAGAGGGAGGTGTAAGGCTTAAGAGTTGTCAGCAAGCATCAATGAAGGGAGTCAGACTTATTCCACGAATTTACACCCCTGAGTTGTAATCTCTCTTTCAGTTGTCTAGCACAGTAATTCCACTTTAGAAAAAAAGGCTTTCAACACCCACAAAGTAGTTCTTGTTTCCAAAATCAAAGTTTTTCTCTTTTCTCTAAGATTACTCCAGTGGTTTTTGTAACTCCTTAGCACCTAGTTATTATGTTCCTGGGGCTACCTAAGACTCCAGCCAAGATTGCAAAGACAAGAACCAGCCATAGACAGGCAGACAGTACCCAAAGGAGGCCCCAGAGCTGACTCTGATGCCCCCTTCCCGACTGTGGATAAGAAGGAGCAGATCAGTCAGGGAATAAATGCCAGCCCATCAGTTTGGCAAAAGGTGAGCCATACAAAGAAATTACTGGAGCCTCCATGTCACTTCATCATTAAGTGACAGATCTCTGATCTCTTTCCATGACATCCAGAGGGCAACTGCTGGACCAGGAAGGAAAACTCTGCCACACTGATGGGAGGAAGGAATATTGAGAGCAGCAAGGGCAGGTAGAGGGGCAAACAAGGCAGCATCCACAAAGTAACCAAGCAAAGCATTGTGGCCAGCCTTCCTCCTGGCCGACACGCACAGTATTCCAATCATAACAAGGATGCCTTGGGCCAAATGTAATAAATCTGCTCTTAAGTGGCAGGTAACTGAGTTTGCTGCTTTTGCTTTTAGGACTTGATGTTGGGCAACGTTTAAAAAAAAATCAGATGTTTTTGAAAAGAGGCTTTGATGTGCCCCTTCCCCCTGGACTCTCTGCACATACTGCAAGTGCAGGTGGGAGATGGAAGGGCAGGGGGTGGAGGGGAGCAGGCTTCAGCCCAGCCCTGGGCAGCCACTGTGGATGCTTCTCCACTTCACAAGTCATGAGCAAGCCTCTTGACCTAACTCTGACTGCAGATAATGGGTGAAGTCTGAGACAAAGCGGAACAAAGGCAGCTGGATGGCTACTTTGCAGGTGATTTCTCTTAGGACAGGAGGGATTCTTTTCAAAGAAAAACGTTGGAAAACTGTTACCATGGAAACTCTCCAAGTTCTGAAGTGATATTATCAGATAAAGCTCTGGAGAGCAGACGGAAGGTGGTGGGTGCAGTACTCATGAATGGATACATTCTACAAGTTGGGCTTTTTCTTTCTCTTTTAATATTAAGTCTGAATATTAAGAAAAAAGGTGATAAAAGCAAAAAGAAAAGAAGGAAGGAAGAAAGGAAAAGAGGGTGAGAGGAAGGGAAGGAGGGAAAGAAAACAGGAAACAAAATAACGTAAGATAGAAGGAGGGAAGAAAGGAAGGAAATGCAAACTAAATTTACTCCAAGAAAATATCCTTGGTAGCAAGAAAAAGCTGCCTGTGGAGCTGCCGCTGAGAGAGGGAGGTTAGATTCTGTATGATTTTGACCCTTATGCTTTATTAAGGGTGATAGAAGAGTTCATTCAGTGACTGGATTTCTCCCACTTCTTGGTATATCTGTAATGTTGATTGTTATAAGACATACTTACCTTGAAATCATTGAATTATTATTGGTTTAACACAAAGCTCATACTATGTTGTCTGTAATGGCATGCTATTAATAGCATTATGAAATATAATGATTAACATGTGCTGGATATCAATAATGAAGCTAGTCATAGGCTAATTCTACTTCCAAGGTGGTGCAACTTAATCTACTCTGATTGGTAAAACAATATTCTGGGGAGCAGAATTTACAAAATGCTTAGAAATAGTTGCATTAATTATTCTACATCATAAGCCCATCAAGTAGGTTATTAACTCAACTCCCTTGCTCCGTCCCTTTGTCATACTTGCCTGGTAAAACCCCAGGAGTTCAACCCTACTCCCTGTCTACTATGCACAGGCTGAATCTGGTTTGAGAGGCACATGCACCCAGGCTGACTGGCCACACTTTAGTTTATGACTTTACTGAGCTCCCATCACTGCCAAGAGACCCTTACACAATTCTTGTAACATTCTTCTATCCTCCTAGGTGACAACTCACCTCTCTTTTTTCCTTAAACCTTCAATATCCCCTCCTTATCCTCTATCAACTCGTGGCTCACTCTCATTTTGCTGAAAAAATAGAATTTGTAAGAAAAGCATTTCCTCATTCTCCTACCCCAATCTCCTAAACCATCTTCACGTGTAATGATATCCTCTGGTTCCCTGCCCATGATGATGAATTATATCCATACTGCTGTGTAGGACAAATCCTTCCATATGTAACTGGATCCCATTCCCCAGAACACTCATAAACATTAGTTCTGCCATCAGTCTTGCTCTCTCTATTCTACATTATCAATTTTTTTCTTTCTCCTGGATCATCTTCAATAACATAAAAATAGCTGTGTTACCTTCATGATTAAAACAAAAAGACAAACACAAACTTCTCTTGACTCCTCTAACCCCCACCTCACTTTGTAGCTTTGTAGCAAAATTCCTCAGAAACACTCTCTCTTGGATCAACTCCATTAATGGTTTTGCCCTCGTCATTGCAGAGAAACAGCTTTCACAGTAGTCATCAATGAAATCCACGTTGCTGAATCCCATAGTCAATCTTCAGTCCTCCTGTTACCTGACTAACTAGCAACATATCTCAATATCTCCTTCCTCAAACACTTTCTTTCCTTGGCCTCTGAGACATCAATCCCCTGATTTTTCTTCCACCTCACTTTGTTTCCCTTTCAGGCTACTTTGTTGACTCGTTTTCTTATTTTCAGCCTTCAAATGTAGGATCTGACTTATTCCTCTCACGGCTACTCTGATGACTTGTAAATTTCTATCTCTAGCCAACACCTCTCCCCTGAACTCTAGACTTGTGTATCCAACCTTCTATGTAGCATTTCCACTTGGATGTCTAATAGACATCTCCAAATAGAGCCCTTACTTTCTCCCCTGTCCACACTAACCCTCCCCTCTCCCAGTATTTCCCATGCAGTAAATGGTGCTACCATGCACCCAGTTGCTCAAGTCAAAGTGTTTGCAATCAGTTTTGAATACTGTCATCTTGCATTTTAAATGCAAGCTCTTATCAAATTACGTTGGTTCTACCTTCAAAATATATCCATAGTCCAACCACTCCTCAACTCCTACACTGCTCTCAGGCTCCTTCAAACAACCACCATCATGTCTTGCCTTTATTAATAATCTCTCATCTGATCTCCATACTACTACTCCTCTTACAAGGGCATGGTCTCTTGACCCAGTAGTCAGAGGACTTCTTTAAAAATAAAGCCAGGTCATTTTCGTGATCAAAATCTTCTGGTGGCATCTGATCTTACCAGCAACAGAATCTAAATTGCAGTTGTCCCTTATAAGATTCTACATGATCTGGCTCCTGTCTACCTACCACTGATTTCCTCACTCACTGTTCTTCATGCATACTGGCCTACTGTAGTTCTTTGACAAGACCAACAATGCTCACAATTCTAGGCTGTTGCATTGGCCAGGGCTCTTTTCCCCTAGATACTTACAGGGTTTATGCTCTCTTTCATTGAGGGCTTTATTCAAATGTTTCTTTCTAACAGAGACTTTATCTGACCACCATATGTAAATTATTCCAATCCATTCTTTATCCTGCCTTACGTTTTTTCACTGTGCTAACTTATGTTGTGCCCTGTATTTATTTGTTTCTCCCTTTCTCATCTGTCACTAGGCTGTAAGATCCACAAGAGTCTGCTTCTTTTTTCAATTGCTCTATGTTTTTCACATAGCAGACCTTTCATAAATATTTGTCAAATTGGCTAATGAAGGAGTGAATCAGATATTATGTTAGGATCTTCCATTCTCTGGGTATCTCACTTATTGTTGTGATTCCAATCCCATTATGGGGTTACAAGATTCTCAGCCTTATGTTGTGCCAGAAAATGAAGGATCAGGTTGTTGGTGGTCAACATACTGATATGTGATGCCATTGCTGGCATTGCTTCTAACTCCCATCTATCTGCTTCCTGAGCCTCAGAAATATTCTGCACAGAAGGCATGAACCCAAGACTCAACACTTACAAGGACCATCCTTTTTTGATATTGCATTGTAGTTAGGCACTAATCTCTACCACCATGGCCTACCTCCTTCCCATTCCTATAGGCAGATCAAACCTTCTTAGGAGAGGCCATATGCAGCTCACCACTCAAAGAACTTCCATCCCACTTCTCTATGGAATTGTCAAGAAAACCTTCTCACTGAAGCTGGGGAAGTAAGGTTGTCCTTTCCTCCTAGCTGTGGGCATGTCTCACTGATGTCAGAGTTTGAGGGAGGGAGAGAGGACCAGGAGAAGAAATCAGAGATATAGGAGAATGTAGCCAGAGCTTTAGCAGAGAGCTTCCTTGCTTTCCTATAAGAAACGAATATTTTCAGAAATGTATAATGGAGACACTGAGGTTGTTCTGAAGCTCTCAGGAAAACACAAAAATAATAGTACTGTAAAGGAGCTAATTCTAATGAAGGAATTGTTATTTGCCTGAAAAAAGAACATCTTACTGGGTTGTTCTCACTACCCTCAAAGCAGGGGATATTTTATATGGTCATAATCTCTGAGGCTCCAGAGAGTTTATAGATGACACTGAACATCAAAGCAGTGTTATCACTTATTTTTTCATGGCCAAGACATGCATCTCCTAAGCTTGACGGCATTTTGCTGTGGAAGTCATCTGAAAAATTACTGATCTGCCTCCCTAGGACAACTCTTTATCAATTGCTCTTAGAATGCACTTCTAAGAGCTGACTCAGCCCAGTTCTTGGCAAAAGTTGGAATGCAACCCTTAACAATTCATTTGTGATAACAATTGGGAATAGAAGAAAGGAGCTGAGTGGCAGTTGTTTGTTTTCAGGACCATAACATAAACTCTTCCGTGAGTACCAAAAATAGCTTTAATTTCTCCTGTTTCAGGAGAAAAGACATAGTTAGAACATCAAAGATGTTGGAATTAGGAAGACATTGATCCAATTAATTTTGCAGCCACTTGCTATCATGTCTTCTTGGGTAAGTTTCCTGACCCTTCTTAACATCCATGTTCTCATCTATAATATGGAATTAATAATGTAGTCTACATAATGGTGTTAGCAGATTGCAGTGAGATCATTAAAATGCTGATGACAGAGCCTGTCACGTAGCTCATATTCAAAGGCTAGTTATATGCACTATAAGCTATTGCCACAATGATGCTGCATCACAAACCACCCCCAAACTCAGAGGCTTACGATGACTCTCACATATTCTTTTGTTTAAAAGTCTGCAGGTTGATTTTATTATTACACTATGGGCTTAAATGAACAGCTCTGCTCCAACCTGTAGGTCAGCTGGACTTGGCTCCAGCTGCTGGTTGGGTTCAGTTTTGTTCCATGAGTGTTTACTCCAGGGCCAACGTTAAGAAACAATAGCTATCTGAGTCATACTCTTCTCATGGTGGGTCACCAGAGAACAAAGCAAGCCAAAAGACACCGGCACATTTGAGGCTTTAGCTTGCATCATCTCTGCTAATATGTATTGGTCAAAGCAAGTTACATGGCAACCCCAACATCAATGGATGGGTTAAGTCCACCCACAGCAGGATGGGGAAGGAAGTGCACATTTGCTGAACAGTAATGTCAACTACCCCACTATAATAATAATGATGATAATGATTGGCAAGGAGAAAAATAATCATTGATTCTTTCTGCTGATTTTGTTTGGCTGCCAATTAATTCTGTGCCAGTGATTGCCTTAGCTATTTTCCCAAGCAATGTTAAGTTTTCCCCAACCATATGTGACTTTGATGTGTGGTTTTAAAGAATGACTTTAAAGACAATGATCCGAGTCGTGCAAATCCTTTCCGTCAGCTTGGGAATAGACAAATCGAAAACTGAACAAGTCAGCAAATATAACTCATTCCTTAATGTACACTGACTAACTCATTTATGGTGTTGGCACCTCCTTGGACATCTCTGAGCCTTGGTTTACCTTATTTGAAGATGAAAAGATGTTCTCTTAAGTTCCTCCTAATTTATTAAGTATTTTCCACAAATGAGAGAACTTTTTCTTTATACTCGTGAGTATACTTTTGTTTTATACCTGTCTTATGCATTTTAAGTAAAACAGACAAGTATTTAATGCAGTCAATTGACATTCATTTGAGGGGAAGCTAGGATTAAATGCCAAGTTCAGTTCAGCCACAAAATAGCTCATGGACCATGGAAGGGATCCGCAGAATGTATTTCCTTGGCCCTTGCTGTGATGAATAGATGACTTGAAGTGGACAGTTCAACCTAAAACCAGGAAAAACATCTTAGGTATTCCTTTCTAGAATTATAAAAGTAAAGCACATAAGGTGGAGGTAGGGAAGATGGATATAAAATATAAAGGAAAAAAGAAGGCATTTGTCAGATGCTATTTGGCAATATTATCTTCTTGCTGTCTCTCATTTATTTAAGGCTTTTGTGAAGGAAGAGAAGGCCCCTGAACCATCCATGGACGGCAGTTATCAAGTCTACAGAAACATCAAATGAAAGTTATCTTACCAAGTGTTATCATCTCTACTCAAAAACTCTACTGGCAAGTAAATCAGAAGAAATGGGCTAAAATTACAACATGAAAAATATAAGTTAGGCATGCAGGGAAGTTTCCTACCTTAGAGGGTTGGTACATATTGTTAAATATCTTGAGGTTAGTTGACAGCTTTTCCTTCCAAATCTGTCTGTGGGGAGTGATGAGGGAAGGAGAGAAATGACTGACATTTATTGTTAAGAAGGAGCTGGAAGTCTCATGCATGGTATCATATTAACATCACATAAGCCCAGCCAGGGATGTATTAAGAACCTTATATATTCAGAAAAGAATTCAGGATTGTTTGAGTTGGATACATTATCCCCCAAGGTAATACTGTTAGGAAATGGTGGGATTGGCCTTAAACCTAGCCTCTGATGTTCCACATTATCACATTTTGATTTTTAAGATATGCACCTGGATTTGGAAAGTTTTATTGGCTATAGGACAAGCAGGGAGATAGACAAAGTTAATGCTCACAAAGTCCTTTTCAATCCCAGACATCTGTGAGTCTATGATATGTAACAAATTATTTCCTCTGCAGACCCAAACCGTAGGCTACATTGTACATATTTTTTCCTTGTTTTCAGCTGTCAGCTACTTGACTGCCCCTCATGGCCACTTTTCAAGTCTTGATTGCCAAGCATTTATTTTCTTTTTCCAGTTTGTCTGGAAGACAGAATGCCTCAGGAAGGGATTGTTGGGTTTTTCATATAAAGCACGTGAAATATCTGTAATTATGGATTACATTTTTGTACCCAATATATGGCTGAAAGGAGTCCTGTGATAGAAACTTTTAGAAGATAATTGAATGTGTCAGCTGCATCAAGAAATTATGTACTTGCTTCACTTCAACAAACTGTGATAAATAGTCTATTGTCTGGAGAGTTTGCTTGGCATTTTCTTTTGCGTTACAAAATTGTGCTAGTCCTTGTCACTGAATTTTTGGTTAACAACTCATAGAAACCCTTTGAACTAGAATTCATCTGTAGATACCAGTTACTGTGCATAGCTACCTGGAAAACAACTGATTTTAATAATTCAACACTTCATTTCTACCATTACCCCAGACAAAGAATATGTGTCTTTTTTACCAAATTTACTTGGTTAAAAGTAGGAAATGTCTTATGCTGAGTGGCAATTAGCATTTCTCCATCTGAATAATGAAGTGAGAGAAAAAGCATTTATTCTTTATTCTTTATGTTTCCAATTGTGTCTTTGCGTAATTGGCTTGGAACAGAAGTATCTTATTAAAATGTACAATCAATAGCAGAAATAGGATTCCAAGAAGAAGAACAAAACAAAATATAGTTGATAACTTCCTATTAAACCTCAGCCTTATATAGTACGCCCTCACTAAGAAGAATTAAGCTTGTTTAAAAATAAATAAATCATAAAATATTACTAGTAGAAAATGGAAATAAATAGTGGCCAAATCTATACATAAACTGGAGTGATCATTTTTTAAGCTCAAAAGGAGTAGAAGAAATAACAGAGAGGGAGATCAGTAGATTTTTCACATAGGATTTCCCTCAAAATTGCTTAACAGGCAAATAAACCAGAGGGAATACTTGCTTCAAATAGGACAAAGAGTGGTATCCTTAATAGAAAAAGAACTCATGCCAAAAGGTAATAAAAGCATTAAGTTCCCAATAAACAAAGGGGAAAGGAATGAAGACAATGAAATAGAGGCATATTAATGGCTAATAAACATTTGAAAATTTTTCAACCTCACTCATTATCAACAAAATGGAAATTAGAATAACAACGAGATACTATTTTTAACCTAACAGATTAATAGAACTGTAAAAAATGTGAATATTCAATATCGGAGATTGAGTGCAGTGACACAGACACACTCAACACAGCTGGAAGAAATATAAAGTGGCTCCAGCCTTTAGGAAAGGAACGTGGCATACAATTCAAGAGTCTTGAAAATATTCTTACCCTTACCTGGGAAATTCTCTTTCTGGGATTCTATTAATGGAAATGATCTGAAATGAAGAAGGACTTTTTTGCCTAAAGACATTCATTGCAATGCTGTTTATAATATTAATATTTGGAAATAAATGAAGTTTCTAAAAATAAGAGTGATATTAAACAAGTGAGAATAAAAATAATGTAGTCATTCAAAGATCTGTAAAACATTTTGAATAATATCATAAAATGCCTAGATTTCAGTGTTAAATATAAAAAAGTATAAAATTTTATATGTAGAATAAGATCAAAGACGTAAAATACCTATAAAAACGACTGGAGTGGATTATAATAAAATGTTAAGAGTGGTTTTATCTGGTTGGTAGGGTTATGTGGAAGATGGCCATGGAATTTATTTTCCAAGTGGGGACAGTTGGGAGATTAAAAGGGGGCTGGATCAATGGTTATGAACTAAAATGCTCCAGCATATGTGGTCACATTTCTCTCAAACTGACTTCAAATGAATTTTGTCTAAAATTCTACTGATGTAAATGATGAGTAAGTGGAGGAGCTCAGCCATTCATTTGAAGGTGGTCTGGGAGAAGTGCAGTCAGGAAACAGCTATGAGAAATAGATGAGGGAAGTGGAAAGATGGATTGTTGGAGAAACATTCTAGTCCAGAAGTAGGGACTAAGAAACATGATGTTTAAACATTAGCTGAAGTCCTAACCATCAGTAAGGAATTGATAAAGGTTCCAGCTGTGTGTTGGAATACTATGTGGTCATTAAGAAGAATTAGGGAATATACATGTGCTGATCTGGAAAGATAACTACACTACAGTTTACAGGAAGATAAGCAAGTGGCTGATTGATATTTTTAATGGAGATTCCAATCTGGCAGACTGCTGGCTGGACAAGGCCTGAAGAAGTATTTATTGTGGCTGGCACCTTTCTTAACAAATCTGACTTAGTTGCCAACATTTAAAAACCAGGAATTGTCATATAACAATCTTGATTTTCAACTTGTCTTGGAAAATCTGAAGCTTTTGTAAGCCAGCCTGTATTCCCATGGGCAACAATTCCATGAGGTGGGGAAATCTACCCCTTTTGGATATATACCCAAAGAAATATAAATCAGTCTACCATAAAGACACATACATGTATATGTTCATTGCAGCACTATTCACAATAGCAAAGACATGGAGTCAACCTAAGTGCCCATCAATGAATGATAGACTGGATAAAGAAAAAGTGGTACATGTATACCATGGAATAACTATGCAGCCATAAAAAGAATAAGATCATGTTCGTTGCAGGAACATGGATGGAGCTGGAGGCCATTATCCTTAACAAACTAACGCAGGAACAGAAAACCAAATACCGCATGTTCTCCCTTACAAGTGGGCGCTAACTGATGAGAACATGTGGACATATAGAGGGGAACAGCACACACCGGGGTGTTTTGGAGGGTGGAGGGTAGGAGGAGGGAGAGGATCAGGAAAAACAGCTAGTGAGTACTAGGCATAATACCTGGGTAATGAAATAATCTGTGTAACAAGCCCCCATGAACAAGTTGACCAATGTAACAAACTTGCATTTAAACAAGTTAACAAATTTATACATAGAAGAAGGTACAGGCTCCTTCAACATTGCTCCTGTCCCCAGGGTGGGAGCCACAGGGCAGGTTGTGACTGATGGAACCCCTAAGGCCCCCCACCATGGTCAGTTTTACAAAGTTGTGAGTTCTCATCACTGGCATCACTTGAGCAGACGCTGGGTGACCCCAGCAGGGGTGTTCTTAAAGAGAATGGAAGCCTGCCTGAGAGACACCAACTCTGAGATCCGGGGTTCTCTGGAAGCTCAGTTCACACACAAACCTCAGCCCTTGCTTTTTTCTAGAACTGGAGCCCTGCCCTGGGGTCTAACCAGAGAGGACAATAAAGCCCAGGGTAGCGGGGCCCTGTTAGCTTCAGCCACACCTGAGCAGGGCACAGGCAGGCAGGGAGGAGGACGTTGAAACCATATTCAAAACATTTCCTGATATTTGAGTATACTATTTTCAAAGTCATTTCATATACCTATATAATTTTTTACATTTATGATTCTTATTAAAAGCACACTTCCAGAACTCCAAAAGCCCCCCTTGTTCACACTGCTCATCAGAACCTCTTTCTTCTCCCAAAGGAAACCAGTATTCTGACTTGTTATTCATTTGGCCTGCTTTTAAGTTCTTATAAATGGGATCATACAGTCTGTACTCTTTCACATCCCCCTTCCTTCACTCAATATTATGCTTGTGAGATTCACCCATATTGTTACTTTTCAGCATTGAATTCTCACAGAAACAACAAAAGGTAGGTTAAAAAGGGTTCAGCAATTTGCCATGAAGATAAAGAAAGAAACCCAAAAGGATGAAGTGACTTGCCCAAGGTCACACGACCACTAACTGGCCAAGCTGAGTACCTGGATCTCCAGACGTCACGTCTAGCGTTTGTTCCTTGGATGTGTTAGTTCACCCCCACAGAGGTGTGGCCTGCTGGGAACTGTGTGGAAACCGGGGCCATTCATTTCTTGACTCTCCTACTTACCCCTTAAGTGACTTGGCACAAGCCACTTACCTTCTCTGAAACTTGAGTGGTTCATCGGCAAAATGGGCCCCTGTCATCTGTGTTTCATAGGCGGTCAGTGAATATTTGTTATGTGAATGAACACGTTTGTTAGGAGAAAATGAGATCATGTGTGTAGAGTCTGGTATGCTGCTTGCCACCTTTGCAGCAGTTGATAAACAGCCATGATAGCTGGCACTGAAAAGAAAGTCTCATTTCAGGGGAAGGTTTCATGAAAGACTAGATTTTAATGTATCAGTTGGAATGCGTTAGATTAGGGTTCATTAAGCTATCCGATGCTAGACGATGGAAAAGGAAATGAAAAATCTATCATCGGAACTTTTCCAATGTCTGAATACTTGCTGTTGTGTGGATGCCCTGGGTGACCCACTGCTCTCCCTGTGTCACCTGGAAGCATACACCTGGTGACAGCTCCTCTCATTGACCCTCTGAAGGCGCTCAACGTGTTTCTCAGACCCCCGTTTGTCCCTGGCTTTGGCGATATGTTGAAAAATGTCAGCGTTTCAAAGCGAATTTCTGCCTGAGTTTTTGACATGCATACAGCACGAGTGAATTTGCAACAACCTCTGGGACAGCATAGCTTAGCTCAAACAGAATGTAAAAGCCATCCAGCTGGCAGGCTGAGCTGAGAAATCCACGTTCGTCTAAGTCGGTTTGTGCCTAAATGCTCTCTGGGGTTTTACTTATTTTTCAACTGGCTCTGACTGTGCGAGTTCCGTCTTCTCAATGTTAAGTCACTTAGCCATTAAAAGGATGTGATGTGACTGCAGCTAGCAGGCAGCATCAGTTGTTCTGTAATGGTCTGTAGGCATGGCACTACAGACCATGTTGAGAATTTGTGGATGAATTTATAAATATTGTGACATTCTTATCCTTTAATATATAATAGTTATCACTATGATTTGTTGAGCACGTAGTATGTGTCAGACTCTGTGGTAGCTGATCCCTTGGTGTTTCATTTAATTTTTACAATGAAACCCAGGAGGTAGGGTTATTTTCATTCATCATCATTTTATGGAGAAAGAAATTGAGACCCAGAAAGGTTGAATCACTTTCTCAAGGTCAATCAATTCATAAGTGGCTGAGCTGGGATTGGAGCCTAGCACCATCTGATTTCCAAGCTAGTGCCCTTTCCTCTATTCTCTGAGTTGCAGGAGGAATGAGGAAACTTTGATATAAGAGGTCTGGAACATGGGAACCAGGGAAGAGGATGGAATCTGACCTTCCTAATATGTACGAGCTTATAAGAGTGAGCACCATGGCTTCCCAGAACATCCTGATGACTTATTATTAAAGAATACAGCCTGCCATGGCTAGTAAATGTTGCCACACCTGCCTAAAAGAAGGTCAAGTGTACTTGTATTGGCGTCAGCCTATGTCTGTACAACATAGGCTTACTATGGGCACCCTGGAGAAATAGAGGCAGTTTTTTTAGATTTCTTTCAATCAGCAAAATGAGGTGTTACCTGCTGGCATATCACAGTTCTTTATTTAGCATTGCTGTTCTGTTCTGCCAAAATATCCATTCAAATATAATTATTAAAATAATGATAATATCCAGCACTTTGGGAGGCTGAGGCAGGTGGATCTCTTAAGTACAGGAATTCGAGACCAGCCTAGGCAACATGGAGAAACCCTGTCTCTACGAAAAATACAAAAATCAGCCAGGCATGATGGCACTCACCTGTAGTCCCACCTACTTGGGAGGCTGAGGTGGGAGGATCGCTTGAGGCCAGGTGTTCAAGGTTATAGTGAACTATGATTGTGCTACTGCATTCTAGCCTGGGCACCAGAGTGAGACCCTGTCTCAAAAATAAATCAATCAATAAAATAGTGATGATTATATCAGCAAATCAACAAATCCACCCATAAGTAACCTCCAACAGTGAGTCCCAGACGTGGGAGGAGGGGGTGAAATGTAAACAGTGTGCTCCCCTTGGAGGAACAAGGCCAGGCCCACGGCACTTCTGAAGGTAAGAGGTACATCTCTGGGCACTCTCCACCTTGCTCATTCCCTTTTTTGTTTGGAGCCATTTGGGTATTTAAAGTAACCTGTGTGCAAACCAGCCACTTAATCCCTGAATTCAATCCTGTTTTTTATACCCACTCCTCCCATCGTAAGTCTAAGTCACTTTCACCTCTGCCCAGTACTGCTTAAGCCATCACATCGGGCTCCATTTCCATCCTTACCCTTCAATAATTTATTCTCAAAGCAGATAGAGTTTCCTTTCAAACACGTAAATCACATCCTGTCTGGGCAGGTTTTATTTTCTAAAGATGGCCACTTTTCCCACATGCTCTCAGAGGGTGATATGGAGAGGCCGCCATCAATAGCAGGGTCTGTGTTCCCTCCCCTTGACACTGGCACCCTTTTGCAGTGGCCTGCATGAGAAGAACACAGCAGACTTCCAGGGCTGGTTAGAAAAGGCAATACAAGCTACCACGGGCCTCTCTGTCTCCTAGGATGCCTGTTTTGGAAACCCAGCCACCACGTTGTGAGAAAGTCAAGCAGCCCCACAGACGGGCTACGTGCAGTCCTGCTGAGGTCCCAGTTAAAAGCCAGCATCACCCGCTGGACACGTGAGTGAGTGAGGCTTCAGATGACTCCTGACCCCAACCTTTGAGCTGCCTAAGCTGCACCAGTGGAGCAGAGACAAGCTGACTATCAAGCCAAGCCCACATTGCAGATCTGTGAACAAAACAGATGTCACTGAGTTAAGCCACTAACTGTAGGGGGGTTGGGTTATGTGAAGCAGTAGGAACCTGAGACATCATCACTTCCTTGCTTAAAACCCTCCGATGGCTTTCCAATGCCATGTGAGGAATCCAATGTCCTTACCTTGGTTTAAAAAATCGAAAATCGTGCCTAGATCCTTCTAGCCCCTGACTATCCCTCCTATCTCATCTTGCTCCACTCAGCCTTCTTCATTGTACCACAGCCTCATGCTCCTTTCTCTCTGTTGAATCCACTGAGCTTGCTCCAACCTTGGGGCTTCTGTACTTGCTGTTCCTTCTGCCTGAATGCTCTTCCCTGGATCTTGGAGTAACTGGATTCTTCTCATCAGTCTCAGGTTTCAGTTCAAACATCACCTGCTTTACCGGTTGCCAGGACTAGCCTCTGAGTTTATTTCAGTTTAGTGGTTGTACATATAATCTTAGATAAGTTGGGGTAACACCTTTTTTGTGAGCCATGTTCAGGTTCAGAGATGCAGGCATGGAATGATGTTGGATTTAAACAGATTTGGAAACTTATCAGGTGAATATGGTGAAAAGAAAGAGGTGCAGTGGCAGTTTTTCACTTTGCTCATATTCCAGATGTTTCTAATATCATTTTTGCCAGATATATTAGTCAGTATTTGTTGGTTATGCTGCAGTAACAAACCACCCAGAAGCTCAGTGTCTTTTTTTTTTATATGTCAAAAATGTTATTTAACTTTTTTTTTTATTATTATACTTTAAGTTTTAGGGTACATGTGCACAATGTGCAGGTTAGTTACATATGTATACATGTGCCATGCTGGTGTGCTGCACCCATTAACTCGTCATTTAGCATTAGGTATATCTCCTAACGCTATCCCTCCCCCTTCCCCCTACCCCACAACAGTCCCCAGAGTGTGATGTTCCCCTTCCCGTGTCCATGTGTTCTCATTGTTCAATTCCCACCTATGAGTGAGAACATGTGGTGTTTGGTTTTTTGTCCTTGTGATAGTTTACTGAGAATGATGATTTCCATTTTCATCCATGTCCCTACAAAGGACATGAACTCATCATTTTTTATGGCTGCATAGTATTCCATGGTGTATATGTGCCACATTTTCTTAATCTAGTCTATCATTGTTGGACATTTGGGTTGGTTCCAAGTCTTTGCTATTGTGAATAGTGCTGCAATAAACATACATGTGCATGTGTCTTTATAGCAGCATGATTTATAGTCCTTTGGGTATATACCCAGTAATGGGATTGCTGGGTCAAATGGTATTTCTAGTTCTAGATCCCTGAGGAATCGCCACACTGACTTCCACAAGGGTTGAACTAGTTTACAGTCCCACCAACAGTGTAAAAGTGTTCCTATTACTCCACATCCTCTCCAGCACCTCTGATCTTTGACAAACCTGAGAAAAACAAGCAATGGGGAAAGGATTCCCTATTTAATAAATGGTGCTGGGAAAACTGGCTAGCCATATGTAGAAAGCTGAAACTGGATCCCTTCCTTACACCTTATACAAAAATTAATTCAAGATGGATTAAAGACTTAAACGTTAGACCTGAAACCATAAAAACCCTAGAAGAAAACCTAGGCATTACCATTCAGGACATAGGCATGGGCAAGGACTTCATGTCTAAAATACCAAAAGCAATGGCAACAAAAGCCAAAATTGACAAATGGGATCCAATTAAACTAAAGAGCTTCTGCACAGCTAAAGAAACTACCATCAGAGTGAACAGGCAACCTACAAAATGGGAGAAAATTTTCGCAACCTAGTCATCTGACAAAGGGCTAATATCCAGAATCTACAATGAACTCAAACAAATTTACAAGAAAAAAACAAACAACCCCATCAAAAAGTGGGCGAAGGACATAAACAGACACTTCTCAAAAGAAGACATTTATGCAGCCAAAAGACACATGAAAAAATGCTCACCATCACTGGCCATCAGAGAAAGGCAAATCAAAACCACAATGAGATACCATCTCACACCAGTTAGAATAGCTCAGTGTCTTATTACAACCCAGGCTTATTTCTCACTCCTACCACATCTACCCCCAGTTGTCTGTAGGTCTTCTTGAAGTCTTCATTTTGGGATCAGGCTAATGAAGTTGGCCTAAGACACGCTTCTCATGGAAAAGGGGAAAAAGGCAATGAGAACATCATCCAATGGCTTCTCGTGGATGTGGCATCCGTTATTCATCGGCCAGAGCAGGCCACAGGGTCAGGTTGGGAGTCATCGGAGTGGCAATGTACTGCTCCCACAGCGAGGGGCTGCAGAAGGGCAACTTTGTAGGGAAAGGTCTGGAGTTAGGCAGGGAATAATATGAACAAATAATAAATTCTAGCACACCAACTTAGCATGTTCTGCTTCAGTGCACATTCCTCTCGACCCCTTTTAAAGCAACTCTGTGTCAGTAATCACGACTCCCCACTGAGTCTCCATGAGTGCTTTTCACTAAGACAAGATGCTAATATTGAAAGACCCAGTCTCAAAGGTGTGTTTATCAGGGGTTTATTGTTTGTTTGTGTGTTTGACTATTCTTTGGCTCATTTGCAGTCAAAGAAGGAGAGAGAATCTTGGTATGCAAATTCCAGTGCTCTCTCCAATCCATCCTTTTCAATTCTTTATTCCTCCAAATGCATTTATTGAGGGTCCACTGTCATCATGGCAGCTACATTCTATGGGAGGGGCAGATGCTAAACAAACAAAAAATAAATAAAATACGGTGCATCAGAGTGTGATAATATAGAAAGGAAGAGAAGAGGCCTGGATGAAACGTGTCAGTTAGCCCCAAAGGTATCCATAAAAGAGTGTTCCAGGAAAGAACAGCAAGCACAAAGTCCCCGGCTTGTGAGCATGCTTGGCATGTTCGAGAATTAGCAAAAATGTCACTGTGATTGGAGTGTGGTGAGCAAGAGAAAAGGAGAAGGAGGTGAGGTCTCAGAGACACCATGATGAGATCCTGTATAAACTTATGGGCCATGCCAAATATTTTTGCTTGTGCTCTGAGTGAGATGAGAAGCACTGCTTGGTTTCAAACAGAGAACACGGTGTAGCTTACGTTCTGGCTGCTGTGCTAAGGAAAGGCAATGGAAGAACAAAGAAGCATCAGGAAGACAGATTAGGAGACGCATTTCCAATGAGGCAGAATTGAGGCAACAGAAACCTGTATGGAGGAGTTAGAGATTGGGGTAGCTATAAGTGGCCAGATTGTAGGTATATTTTGACATAAAGCCAAGATTTGCTGGTTAATTGGATGTCTGGGGTGAGAAAAATGGTGTCAATGATGACTTTAAGTTTTTATCCTGAACAATTACAAGGATGGAGTCAGCATATATAGCAATGAAAGAGACGGTGGGAGAAGCTGATTTGGGAAGGATAATCAGGACTGTCAAGAATTTTATTTCATACAAGCTATGTTGAAATGCTTCAATGTATATCAGACATCCAAGTCAATATACAACATAGGCAGCTAGGTATATAAGTAGTATATACATTTGGAGGAGAAAACCTGGGCTGGAGATAGAAATCTGGTAGTCCTCACAGTATAAATGGCATTTAAAATCATGAGAATGAAAGCTCTCACTAATAAATAGATATAGACAGAGGAAAGAAATCCAAGAAGTGAGACCTGGAGATTTCCAACATTTAGAGATAGGGGAGAAACAGCAAGGTAACTAGGGAGAATTGGCTGAGGAAGTGGGAAAACAGAGAGTGGCACCTGGAAAACTAAGTAATAAGAATGCGCTTAGAGCAGGAGAGAGCAATCCACTGCCCCAAATGATCATGAATGGTGTAAGATGCATGTTGAAAATTGCTTGTTGGATTTGGAGAGAGGAGATAATTGGTATCCTTGAGAAGAACTATTTCAATGGTGAGGAGAGGATGAAAACCCAAATGACAATGGATTCAGGAGAGGATAAGATAAAAGGAGGCAGTGTCTTTCCTTTAAAAAGAGCATAAGAATGTGTGCAATAGCTGAAGAGGAATGTGGAGCAATAGCTGCAGAGGAATGTGGAGCAAGTGAGGACATTTTTTTTTTTGAGATGGAGTCTTGCTCTGTTGCCCAGGCTGAAGTGCAGTGGTGTGATCTCGGCTCACTGCAAGCTCTGCCTCCCGGGTTCATGCCATTCTCCTGCCTCAGCCTCCTGAGTAACTGGGACTACAGGTACCTGCCACCACGTCTGGCTAATTTTTTGTATTTTTAGTAGAGATGGGGTTTCACCGTGTTAGCCAGGATGGTCTCGATCCCCTGACCTCGCGATCTGCCTGCCTTGGCCTCCCAAAGTGCTAGGATAACAGGATCTTTTTTTTGAATATGAAAAAAGATGACATGTGTGTATGCTAATGAAAAGCAGTGAGGAAAGTTGATGACGCAAGGTAGAGAAGAAACAATAGGTAGATCGCCAAGGGTATACTTGGTCAGAGAAAGGAGAACAGGAAGTTGATCTATGGAAACAGGGAATGGGGTGTCTTTGCATGTGGGCAGAGAGATGTGGTGATGGGAATGTATAGGAGGTGCCTTCTTCATATACACCATGGAATACTATGCAGCCATAAAAAATGATGAGTTCATGTCCTCTGTAGGGACATGGATGAAATTGGAAATCATCATTCTCAGTAAACTATCGCAAGAACAAAAAACCAAACACTGCATATTCTCACACATAGGTGGGAATTGAACAATGAGAACACATGGATACAGGAAGGGGAACATCACACTCTGGGGACTGTTGTGGGGTAGGGGGAGGGGGGAGGGATAGCATTAGGAGATATACCTAATGCTAAATGACGAGTTAATGGGTGCAGCACACCAGCATGGCACATGTATACGTATGTAACTAACCTGAACATTGTGTACATGTACCCTAAAACTTAAAGTATAATAATAATAAAATTAAAAAACAAAAACAATTTAAAAAAAAGAAGGTGTCTTCTTGTATTAGTTCATTCTCACACTGCTATAAAAACTGCTTGAGTTCGTTCTCACACAACCCTGAGACTGGGCTGGGTAATTTATAAAGAAAAGAGGTTAAATCGGCTCACAGTTCTGTGGGCTGTACAGTTTTATGCTTCTGGGGAAGCCTCAGGAAACTTGCAGTCATGGCAGAAGGTAAAGGGGAAGCAGGCAAAGCCTTCACTTGGCTAGCAGGAGAGAGAGAGAGGGAAGGGGGAAGTGCTGCACACTTCCAAAACAACCAGATCTCATGAGAACTCACTCACTATCAAGAGACCAGCAAAGGGAAAATCCACCCCCATGATTCAATCACCTCCCACCGCCTCCCTCCCCCAAAACTAGGGATTACAATTCAACAATGAGATTTGGGTAGGGATGCAGAGCCAAACCATATCATTTCTGATGGTTTCTACTATGTGTAGTGAAATAGGAAGCAATGTGATTGTTTGAGAGTGAAAATGGGAGAAAAGATACTGAGTGGTTGAGAAGAAAGACATAGAAATAGCCAACCAGGCGAGGAGAAAAATAGACTGATTCGTGAAATGCTATGTAATTTGTGACTTCACTAAAAGTGCTTCAGGTTAGTGGTCAAGTATTCAAAGTTTGAGCAGTCGCATAACATACGCTGTGTTCAGCTGCAAACATGAAATAGGCATAATATTGAATTTAAACAAGGTTGAAGTTTTGTCAGGTGCTATGAGCCAAATATTGTCCTCCCCCAAATTCATATGTTTAAATCCTAAGCCCCAATGTGACTGTACTTAGAGATAGGGGTTTTAGGAGATAATTAAGGTTTAATGAGGTAATAAGGTGGGGTTCTAATCTTATAAAATTGGTGGTTTTATAAAAAAAAGAGAAGAAGAGAGAGATGTCTCTTTTTCTTTTCTTGTGCATGCAAGAGGAAAGGCCATGTAAAGATATAGAGATAAAGAGACCATCTGCAAGCCAGGAAGTGATCTCTCATCAGAAACCTACTTGCCCTACACCTGATGTTGGAATTCCCAACCTCCAGAATTATGAGAACCACATTTCTGTTGTTTAAGCCACAACACAACAAATTTCTGTTATTAAGGCAGCCTGGGCTGATGAAGAAAGGCATTGGGTGAGTAGAGTAAAGGAAAAGAGGGCCAAAGAAGTTGAGGGTATGCAAGAGAATAGTTATGACCATGAACCATGATTGGGTGAGAAGGGAAGTGATGACATGATATGGAGTGGAGGGTTGTCTAACTGTTGACTATGGTAAAAATCAGTGAACTATGGATCTAACTTGATTTGAGAGTCCAACACTCAAAGGGATAAAGTGGCAAGACAGGAGGTGATAGTCAGAAAGTGGGATGCTTTCTATTAAGATCATAGAAGTGGTATAGTCATTGATAGCAGCAAAGTCTAGGTTATGACCAAAGAAGTGGAAAGATGCATTATTCAAGAAGCAAAAATTCCAGGGTGTTAGAAAGATTGTCTTCATGAGTGTTGAAATAATCAAAGATTACAGTAACTACTGAATTTACAGCAAGTGTTGAAGTGAGTGGCCATAAGCCCATTGTAAATATCTTCAAAGAATAAGAAGACAAGTACCTGAGTAGAGAGACTTAATTGACTCCAAAAAGGTTAGGTAGTGAGTAGATGAGTCTGAACCCATGAGCTTCAAAGCTGAGGGTAATTAGAGAGAAGGGAGTAACAATGAAATGGCAATGAAGACAAAGGAGAATATATATTCATATACATGTAGGTATTCTTGGTCCACAGAGAATCAAATTTCAGTTGGAGCAAAATAGGAAGGGCACACTGAGAAGAGAGGCCAAAGATAAAGAGACATTGCTAATGGCTGCCCTGAGTTTCAGAAGCACAGATGAAGGGGGCCAGGTGCTAGGGGCAGGCAGTGGGGTCAGATTAGGGCATGTGAAAAGATTCATGGCGTTTGAGTCCAGATAATAGGAAACTACCTGAGAGTTTGGACGTATGAAGGCTGATGTATAATGGGAAAGGACATTATGGAATTCATTGTGATCCACTGGTTCTGTGTTTGACTCTGCTCTGAAGCCTGTTTTCTGCCCTTCTCTGGGTCTTGAGAGACTAGCCTCTTTTCAGGATGCACCATCTAGGCTGCTTTGTTCTCTAGCTTCCAGTTGTTTTTGACCAATGGGAGGCTCTAGCAGGTGATCAGAAGGCAGAAGTAAATGGTGATTTCCTCCCACTTCCTCTCTGCCTCTTGGAAATTCTGGCAATAGCTGAATTCTTCAAAGTTCAGCAATGTGGGCAGCCCCCCTTCACCTGCTCCAGCTCATGCCAGTCAAGGGCGGGAGATTCTTTCTCCCTGTGCTTGTCCCTTGGTAATTACTATCCCTTGTTGGTTCTTGTATCCCTGCTAATACCCAGCCCCTTCATTAACTTTCTCCAGCTGAGTGGCTCTTTTGATTCATGCCTGGACTCCAGTGGTCTTACCTTCTGCTAATAGGGCTACCACATGTGTGGGTGTGCCATGGACAGTTCTGCTTAACATAATTTCTACCAATGTAATTATTAACTGTACCCCCTTTCACTCTCAAAAGTCTTTGTTTTGATGAATTATAACATCCCCTGGTTCCATTTGTTTCTGTCTTAAATGCTTGAATTTGAATCTCTGGTTTACCTTCCCTCTGGCCAGGGTCTTCTTGGTCTCTTACAGTCTTTCCTGTGAAGAGAGAGGCTGGGTGTCTGGAGAGGGGTTGATGCGTTAGCTTGTGAAAGGGCGGAGGGAGTGGAAGAGCTCAACCTGGTCTTCATCTTTATTCTACCAACACAGTAAGCTAAAAGCAAATGAGAAAACAAAATTCTTCATGTTTATGTTTCATGTTTTTCCATGCTTAATCATTTATAATAAAGAGACACTTCCCTAGGGTCACTGGCTCATTAGCTTCTTATCTTCTCTTATTTTAAATACAAGTGAAATCACCCCTAATAGCAGCACAGGCAAAATGAGAAATGTCAAGTGGCTTTTCAAGCACAGGCAAAATGAGAAATGTCAAATGACCTTGGGCAAGTTAAACTAAGCTCTCATGGCCTCAATTTCCTCTTTTGTAAATGGGAGTACTAATTGTACTTGCCTAATAGGAGGGTTAGGATTAAATGAGTTAATATATAAAGATGTGAAATACTGCCTGACACCCATATTAAGCATTATGCAACGTGCTGTGCCACACACACACACACATACAGACACAGACACACATAGAGTGATGAGGAAAGGCAGCAGGCAAAGGCATGGGGGAATAGCTTTTTGTGTAGCAACGAGGAGAAAGTGACTCTGCTCTGAACACAGAACTGTGGCTCTGAGGTAATGTTATGCTATAGATCACTGTAGTTTGTCGAAACAAAGGGCTGTTTCCCGTCTAGAGAGGGTGAGCATTTCCTAGGAGAAGGGAGAAAAGGAAAGCTGTGCTTGCTTTAATTTGAATCTCTGCAGAGCAATCCACTTTTGATCTTCCAGAGACCAGCCACTGGCAAACACAGAACAGCTTCCAGCAGCCTGTATACATTTTTGGTTTTTGTCCATGCCAACAAAATAAATCATATCCGAGTTCATTTTTGTGATCTAACATAAATTATGGGGTGGTAGGGAGTGCAGAGAAGGGTACATCACTCTGTGTCCAACTAGAAGATATCATTACGTAATTTAAACAGAGGAATTGTAATGTAAGTAATCACTGGAGAGTGATGATAAAGATGGAAAGGAAACTGCTCAGTGCAGTGGCTCATGCCTGTAATCGCAGCACTTTGGGATGCCAGGGCTGGAGGACTGCTTGAGCCCAGGTGTTTGTGTCCAGCCTGGGCAACATAGTGAGACCTCGTCTCTACTAAAGTGGTGGCACATGCCTGTAGTTCCAGCTACTGGGGAGGCTGAGGAGGGAGGATCGCTTGAGCCCAGGAGTTCAAGCTTGCAGTGAGCTTACGATTGTGCTACTGCACTCCAGCTTGGGCAACAGTGAGATCCTGCCTCAAAAAAAAAGAGGAGGGCAGGGAGAGGAGAGAAAGAGAAAGAAAAGAAGGAAGGAAGGAAGGAAGACAAAAAGAGAGAGAGAGAGAAAGAAAGAAAGAAAGAACAGAAAGAACTGACTTTAGAGGCACCTGGAGCTGAGAGAGAATACCCCAAGAAGGACAAATCTGGAAGAAGTTCCCATCTTACTGGAGAAGGTGTGGCTGAAGCCAGTGCATAGCGAGGAAACTCAGTGGCTCACTGGAGCCAGAGCTGGTCTACAGTTGCCGGGCATGCAGGAACAGCCTGCCCCTGAGCCTGGTGGGCAGGCAGGCAGAGGGAGTGGGAGCCCTGTATGAGGTGCAGGTCCTAGAGTGCCTAGTGTCCCAAACAAGAGAGAAGGAAAAATACTCCAGAGCACAGGAGGGCTGCTGTTGGCAGTGGGCATGCAGGGGGAATTAAAGGACCCTCTGGTGGTGCATGCAAGACTGGAACACACAGTGCCCGAGTGGATAGCTCTGTGAGAAAAAATTCCCTGGGGCTAGTGGGCAGGCATGTATGCAGAGGGAATCAGTCAATCAGGGCACCACTGCAGACGGGAGCTGGAGAGGCCTCTCTCTCCAAGAATGCAGTGCAATTCCAGGTGGGACTATGGGATCACTTGCAGGTCAACCCTGCAGGTACTAGGAGACAGTTTTTATTCTCCTGTAATATTGTCTATCAGATGAGCTCTCCCGATTTTTTACAGCTGTTCCTTCTATAGCATTGTAATCCTGGTCACTGAAAATTCTCCTTGCCCATTGTCTGGTGCAATATTCCAGATGTAATAACACTAGTTAAAAAAATACCAAAAAAATTAGTTCCTATTCCTGGCACACTCTGGGAGAGTTTCATGAGCTTTTGCTAGCTTTTGTTGCAACTATACAAAGGTTATTTTAAAATTAATGAATTGTGTTCCAAATAATAACGATGGCTATGCAGTATATAATTGGGCTTGCTGATAGTTACTATTGTGGATATGTTCTTTCAATCTACCAGAAAGTATACTTTGCATTTTTATAATCACAATATTAAGGACTTGGCAATGTATTCCAAGGTAGCATTTCTATGAATGACATCCATTTTCTGTCTCATTACCAGGAAGGGTCATTAGGTAATCTTCTGATGGCACTGGGTAAATCTATTTCTTGAAATTATTCTCCTAGGATAAACAGATAAAGTCGTCATTTTGTTCGCTGTGGTGTCTCTAACTCTCAAAATGACTGATGGGCCATAATGATATTCCATGGGGATGGAGAAAACCAGCAGTGGGGTTGGTTTTTGGTTTCCTTAGCAACTCTCTCCTAGGGACACCATGGCAGCCACATTTATTCGAAGTTAGAGTTCTTGAAAAAAAAAAAAAAGACGGTATTACAATTGAGACTGCATATACCTAAATTAACTTTGCTCTAGAGAGATGCATTTTGCATTGCTATCATTTTTTAGTTGGTGTGCTGATTTCTCACTAGAAAAGCAAATTCTGCCCTCAAAAAAGTATTAGCAGGGAGGGGCGACTGCTAGAGTAGAAAAGATTAGCAGGGCTTCATAACTCGAATTCCAAAGAGAAAGTGGTTTTCTCTTAGCATTGTTTTCCAATATAGCCCTGAGGGGAACTAATTTAGAATCTAAGCAAGCCCCTTTGAATACATGGTCTCCTTAGTACCCTGCTATTCGGTCCAAGTAGAAATCACTTAGTCTTTCTCATTGTTTCTACAGAAAAGCTGGTCTCTGTGTGAGACTTATTATCATTTCCTGAACAAGGGTTTCTCAAGCTTGGCACCATTGATATTTTGGACTGGGTAATTCTTGTGGAGGACTGCCTTGTGTATTATAGGATGTTTAGCAGCATCTTTGTCTTCTACCTGCTAGATGCCAATCACGTCCCTTCCTCTACTGGGACGACCGTAAGTCTCCAGGCACTGGGAGACAAAACGGTCCCAGTTGAGATCTGTTGTCTCAAAGAAAGGTGTCATGTGATCCCATGAGTAACTCGCTGCCATTTTTCCTTTATCAGTCCTCATTTGCAGCTTCCTAAAGCAAATAACCCATGCTTCAAACACTTCAGAGTCCATGCCGAGAATGCCTGTTAAAGAGAGCTATATTATATTTACAAATAATATTATAAGTACTCTTATACATAAGGACATAACACTGATGTTCTGGGTAGCAGTGAGAAGAAATGATTTGATCCATCTTTTGGCCTCAATCACTTCTCATCTCTGCCATCACCATTCTCATGTCATCTCTGTCACACCCATATTTCTTTGTTTGTTTTTTGAGACAGAGTCTTGCTCTGTCACCCAGGCTGGAGTGCAGTGGCGTGATCTTTGCTCACCGCAACCTCTGCTTCCCCAGTTCAGGCAATTCTCAGCCTCCCGAGTAGCTGGGACTACAGGCATGCACCACCACACCAGGCTTATTTTTAGTAGACACGGGATTTCTCCGTGTTGGCCAGGCTGGTCTCGAACACCTGGCCTCAAGCAATCTACCCACCTCGGCCTCCCAAAGAGCTGAGATTACAGGCGTGAGCCACTGTGCCCAATCCCCACATTTTTCATAAGAGAACACACATCAGATAGAAGGCACTAGTTACCTTCCAGTCCCAAGACATGAAAACTAAAAAATAATAATAATAATAATGAAATAAAATAAGAGAAGGAGCCATGGGAGAATCTACTATGAATTTCACAGCATATAGTTTTGTAGAATATCTATTGATTCTACTTGTCCCTATAATTAACCACAAAATTAGATACATCTTGGGGGAGATTTATGTAACATTTTTAAGCCTAGAAGATAATTAGTTTTTTTTTCCAAAATCAACGATAGCAAAAATTCTAAATTCACAAAAGAAAATGTGCAGCTCTTTGTACTTCTGTCTGACCAAACTACATTTCTGGGAAGGTGTTAGTCTGTAAATCCTGTATATGGAGACTTTTTTCTGACTTCAAAAAATGATAGTGTTTTCTAGAACCTTTATAGTAAAGTTAAAATTGACTAGTACTGGAATTGAACCAATGCTTGAAAAATATGATGTGAACTAACACCACTGTCAGCCATGAGATACCCGGTTGTTTGCCAGTTGTGTTGGAAATGGTTTTAATTTTGGGATGGAGCTTATATCACAAGGGAGATGGCAAGACCATGGATTTGTATATCAGGCTGACTTGAATTTTGAATCCAACACCAGTACTCATTGTCTGTGTGATTTCAGGCACCTTATCTAACCCTTCTGAGCTTCAGCATCCTCATCTGTAAAGTAAGAGTAAGATACAATCATCCCAAGGTCGCTATAGAGATTACAGCTTGGAGACATTATAATGCACATAATGTCCCGAGCAGACTATCTGGCCTGAGGATGAGCCACTTCACTCTGGGATGGGGAGTCCAGGCTGGCAAGACTTCTGACACCCTCGGCCTTAGGCTAACACATCTAATGCAGTGTTCCAGGTCCTTATGCATGTGGCTGATCAGAATTTACATGTATACCTGAAAACCTAAAAATTACTGTCTACCTCAGAGGTTTCCAAATGATAATGTCAGCCTGTCTGAGTCATATATGCTGATGAGGATTCCTGGTTTATACCCTAGAGGCTGTGATACAGTGGATCTACAGTAGGACTTGGGAATCTGGCTTTAGAAAGCTCCCTGGAGGTGGTAATGGGTTCATTTCACAATCTAATGGGTTCCATGGGTGCATTCACTTTGTGAAAACTCACCAACTGATGCATTTTTCTGTATGCATGTGATATTATACATCAATCTAAGTTTAATTGAAAACAAAATATCTCCCCAAGTGATTCCAAGACACAGCCAGATTTGAGAGCCGCTGGTTTTCTATCTTTCCCAAACCACATTTAAAAGTCAAAAAATGGCCAGGCACACTGGGTCTTACCTATAATGCCAGCACTTTGAGAGACTGAGGCAGGCAAATCCCCATCTCTACAAATAATACAAATATTAGCCAGACGTGGTGGTGCACCTGTAGTCCCAGCTACTTGGGAGGCTGAGGTGGGAGGACAGCTTGAGCCCAGGAGGCAAAGGTTGCAGTGAACCAAGATGGTGCCGCTGCACTCCAGCCTGGGCAATAGAGCCAGACCTTGTCTCAATTTTTTTAGAAAAGTCAAAAATTATAAATATGCTGTTTTTCATCATCAATGAAAGAATTATTGGACCAACATGCTTGGCCAGCTGGAGTAGTCACTTCCCAAAGTTGCAGAAGAATATTTCTTGAAAACATATAGAAGTTATCTAGCCCGAGACTTTCATTTTATAGTTGAAGAAACTAGGATGTGGGAAAGGAAGATGATTCCCTTATGTGACCCAGCAAGGAAATGGCAAAGCAGACAGGTGTCCTGATGGCCCTTCCTGTCCTGCCGGTATAAAATGCGAGTCACTTGTAAAAATGTACCCACATTTCAAACACAGGACTAGATGCACAAGAATGTTGGCCTTGGTGACCTGGAGTCTCCCTGCTGATGGACAGCTTGGCCACAGCTGAATGCCTGAAGGTAAATGAATGATTCATGCCTTTCAGCATCTTACGCTCTGACCCACACCTTTTACTTCTATTAAACTTCAAGGCATAAAAAAGGCTCAAGAATAAAGCACTTTCAAGCCTCTGCTCAAGCGCTGTCCTTCACGGCAATTGTGTTTCTGAAATCAGAATAGCACTCCTCAATTGCTGGGCCTTCCGCTGAACTTTAAAGACAAAGACAATGAAAAGTGGATTGCTAATTGCTCTTGTCTTCATTGCTGCTCAACTAGAAATTAAAAGCCTTAACACTGTGGAGCCAAAGATTATAGATTGTGTACAAAGTGGCACACTTGGAGTTTTCTTCTTTTCAAGAGCAGTTAATTTTCTCCTAGGAACTCTCACGGCTCACTGTTCTCTCCAGCATGGAGTAACTGAAAGCAATTGCACATTTTAAGCTTTGTAAGTGGTATTTATTTGTAATTTTGCTTAAGAGATGAATCAGTTAAGACTTATACAAAACATCAATATGTCTAAACACAGGGTGTCCAGGGCAATTGCTGTGAATTGGACTAGTGGTTTAGTTCCAAATTTGCTAGTTTATTTACTTATTTCAGTTCTGAATAAATAGGGTAAGCTAAGTTCATAACGCTGCTGAGACATTTTTCCCCAGGATGATGGATAAGAAAGCAGATAGAGATACACTATCAATGTCTTAATCAGACATTAAACAGATGAAATATGTTAACCCTCTGGCTTCCTAACCAAAAATACTGGGATTTTTTTCCCCCAACCAATTGAAATGATGGGACAACTAATTCTGTCACTTGGGAAGGACATATTAAGAAAAAGGCTCACAATGGAGATAGATGGATGAACAGCAGTAAAGCTGAGGCTGCCACACTTGAGTCTGAAGTCAGTGGTGTAGAAGTTAAATAACTTCAGTTTGATCCTCATAGTTACCTTCGAGGTTGGAATAATATGCCCACTTTTCAGGTGAGAAAATTAAGGCACAGAAAGGCTGCCTCCATGACTCCCTCAGCTAAGGGGATGAAGAGAGGAGGGGGCCAGGGAAATCTCCAAAGAGCAGTGAGGCTTTTCACTGTTACCATGACTTGGTAAAACATCTGTCACCCTTCACAGAAAATCAGTTGTTTGAAGGCAGGTGTTGTCCATGATTCCTGTTTAAACATTTGGGGCCAGCCAGGTGCCGGAAGCACAGCAGGTTTGGGTCCACAGTCAGGGATGGCACTGGAGCTGCCTGCCTTTCCCCACCCCTGCCCTTGTCTCGGGCCTGTATCTGGCAGGAAGTGTTGACGGCTCTGCAGGTCCATGTGTCCAGTACGTTATACTCCGAGGCCCTGGGGGGTGCTGCTCTCCTCCATGTTGCACTCATTCAGTTAGTCCAGTTGGCCAGAGCAGGCCCCGTGGCCTTAACACTCCTCACCAGCCCTCTCCCTCTCCCTCCTCCTGGGCACACAGGCTAACGCACGCTTCCGTGTGCTGTACATTGAGGCCTATAGCAAGATGATCATCAAATCCCAAATACTTGATTTGGGCTTAGAAAGAGAGAAGGGCCCTTTCACATTGCCCTTGCCCACCTGGTCTTCCCTAGATTCCCAGAGAACTCATCAGCGGTGTTTGGGCCACAATCCCAGCTAACAATCATAACTAAAGGGTACTTTGGTTCTCCGTTTACTACTGTCCCTCGTGTGTTTCAACCCCTCAGAAGCAGAGTTTTGTCCATGAGGCAATCTGGTAACATCATAGCTCTACTGCAAACCACTGCCACTGGCTTCTACGCGATGATTTGTTAAAGAAAACAGAAGTGGCATCTCTGGCATTCATGTGCACAGCTTTAAAAAGCTCCAGTGGCCACACTGCCAAAGCTGAAGGCTCCAGGTGGGGCAGGCCTTTCGCAAGAGCTGATTGTGCTGTTTGCTGGGTGAGAGAAAACAGAGTGGGGTGTCACAGGCCCCGGGCCTGGCAGTGGGGCTCTGCAGGGAAGAACCAGTGAAGAGAAGGGTTGCAGAGATTGGCTATCTTCCCAATCTCTCATTCCTACAGCACCACAGTGATTTTAATTAAATACCCACCCTGACTCAGCAGCAGCTGACAAGGCTATTCGCAGAGCCAGGAGCCTGATAAATAGAGTGTTACTGGAGGTAGTCAAACTTCAAGGCCGCTGCTGGAGCCCGCCAGCCCTACTCTTCTTGCCTGCCAGCACGCAGTGCCAATGACAGCCCCGTCTTCCTCTCCTTCAGTGGGACTCCCCAGGGGCTGCTTGGAGGCAGGCAAGCTGCGCCTTCTCAAAACCTTGTGGAAGAGACATTTTCTAGACTCCATTGGTCTTGGCTGCAAGACCAAGTTTCCTTTAGTGAACCCTTAATGGGAAAGCTGCTTAATTACCCTGTAAAGGTTGCTTCTGGTTTTTGCATAGCTGTGGCTGGAAGCTGAATTCTGAGAGCTCTCTGCAGCCTCTGGAGGAAGACAGAAGAGAACAACTCTCAAAGAGAGGAATCCTGGGTTCACACACCGCAGTGCAGAGCCGTGGAAAGCCTTAGGCTTTGTGCCAGACCCACGTGGGTTCTGACAGGGACTTTTCTGTCCCTTACCAGGGTTCCTAGGCTACTTACTCAACTTCTCCACCCTCAGTCTTCTAATACGCAAAATAGGATTAATAATAATATCTGTTTTATAGGATGTTAGGAGTACTCACTGAGACATAAATGGCACAATCTAACCCTTCAATAAGTGGTGACTATCATTTCAATGCATATTATCCAGGTAGATGATGAATAAAACCAGAGCCTATGGCAGAGCTGCCAAGACAAAGCAGATATTTATAAGCACTTGCAATATTTCAGACATCGAGCTACATGGTTTGCACATCATTCTAGGCAACAGGGGAAAATAGTTTTTCTGTTCCCTCTCTCCAAGGAGAGGATTCAAGGTCTCAGTGAGGCTGCCTCAGGCTCTTCTGCTTCAACATGTAATGCAACTGTCTCGTAGTGTTTGCCGGATTCAACTATTATTCAACACATTTCTACCCCTTTCCTTCTCTACCTTTAGATGAGGAAATTATCTCCTTGCCCCTTAATGTTGAGCTTGGCCCTGTTGTTTTTTTGCCAATAGCATGTGAGCAGAAGTGACAGTGTCTGAGTCCTGAGTTTAGGCCTGAAGGCGCATGGTGAGTTTCTGATCACCATTCTGGAAGTTTCCGACATCTGCCGGAGTCACTGCCTCTCTAACCTGGGCCCCTAAATGGGACACATGGGGAAGATTCGCAGCCTGAAATAGATCTGCTATAACCAGCCTGCAAACCTGTGAGCAAAAATAAATGCCTAGTGCTATATGCCAAATGATTTTTGTAGCTATTTGTTATGCAGCAATAGCTGACTAATTCAGTCTCCTGGGGAACTGAGCAGAAAACAAGACAAAGATATGTCTATTCTGGGGTCTCTAATATATCTGGGGATTCTGCTGTTCCCCTGAACCCAAAATTCTACCAAGAAGAAAAATAACCACTATCTTTTTAGGAATAACTGACTCCCTTCTCTTTTTGCCCACATTAGGCTTAACAAAAGAGAAAATGGTTTAGCAACTATTCTTCTCCAGCTTTCCCATCTTACACCTGAACTTCTACATTTTATGATCTTTGACTCAACTTGGACAATTTCCCAATGAGGCAAAGGTGGCCATTACTAGCAGCCACAGAGAGAAGGGATTAGTACTTCAAACTATTACATAGCTGTGGAAAGGTTCAATGAATTGGGAAGGATAGAATAAGCGCTAAATAAATCCATGATTTCTTTTATTTATTTATTTATGAATGCAACAAATACTTATTGAGAACCTACTCTCAGGGTTACTGATAAAATACAGGATACCAAATTAAGTTTGAATTTCAGATGAACAGCAAATTTTTTAGTATAAATATGTCCCAAAATATTGCATGGGATATACCTTTACTAAAAATTATTTATTGTTTGTCTGAAATTCAAATATAACTGGGTGTCCTGTATTTTTTTTTTTTTTTTTTTTTTTGAGATGGAGTCTCGCCCTTTCGCCCAGGCTGGACTGCAGTGGTGCTATCTTGGCTCACTGCAAGCTCCGCCTCCTGGGTTCACGCCATTCTCCTGCCTCAGCCTCCCAAGTAGCTGGGACTACAGGTACCCGCCACCACTCCCGGCTAATTTTTTTTGTATTTTTAGTAGAGACGGGGTTTCACCATGTTAGCCAAGATGGTCTCGATCTCCTGACCTCGTGATCCGCCCACCTCGGCCTCCCAAAGTGCTGGAGGGTGTCCTGTATTTTTATTTGTGAAGTGTAACATCTCTACTACTACAATCCAGGTACTGTATTAGATACCGAAGACAGAGTAGTTAAGAATGGTGGGAAAGGTCTCAGCCCTCAAAATGCTTGAAATATCTTAGATAAGATATGCAATGCATACAAGATTTATGTATGTATAGGCAATATATAAAACATGAACGTAGACATGGATACAAATTACATTAAATCCTTTAATATGGGAAGCTGGGTGCTATGGGCTGCATAGGAGGAGAAGGTATTAGCACATGGACTGCCCCGCCTCAGCCCACACCTGTGTCTTCACAGATTGCTCCATATTCCGAGTGACGAAGGAGGAAAAAAATTCAAACCTGTTTTTTGGATGGCTCTACATGACGTTTTGGCAATTGCCAAAATTAGCTGATGCAATGTTAGCGCTTACTCAGGGTGGCCTTGAAAGAAAATATATGTATTAGTCTGTTTTCATACTCCTATAAAGACCTGCTCAACACTGGGTGATTTCTAAAGGAAAGAGGTTTAATTGACTCACAGTTCAGCATGGCTGGGGAGGCCTCGGGAAACTTAAAATCATGGCTGAGGGTGAAGACGAAGCAAGTACCTCCTTCACAAGGTGGTAGGAAGGAGAACAGCCAGCAAGGGAAATGCCAGATGCTTATAAAACCATCGGATCTCTTAAAAACTCACTATCATGAGAACAGCATGGGGGACACCACCCCCATGATATAATTACCTTCACCTGGTCTCTCCCTTGACACCTGGGGATTGTGAGGATTATAGGGATTACAACTCAAGATGAGATTTGGGTGGAAACACAAAGCCTAACCGTATCAACATAGAAGGCAAATTGGCTCAGCAAATAAATATAGCCACCCATCTACTTGGCCATTTTATTTAGGAGAGAGACTGTGATTAACGGACAATGGCTATAGTTTGGTCAGATTGTCAGAGACTCAGAAGAGGCAGTGCTGCAGCATTGCTGACAAGGACTTTTGGAGAAGTGTGTGTGGCTTTTGAAATGACCCTAGGATATAAAAATATCTGTATCTTATATGTGGGCCCAACAAAGCACTTCCACCACAGAGTGATTTCTTAATAATCAGGAGGGAAAACTGACCCAGTCTGGGAATATCTGTCAGTTTCCTTCCCTGGGCCTCCCAGGGCCAGCCCAGAGGGTGGGTGGATGGTGGCCGGAATGAAAACCATACAAATGCCCAACAACCTGGATTTAGGTTTGCCAAATCTTTTTGTTTGTTTGTTTGTTTGTCTGTGAGACAAGGTCTTGCTCTGTCTCCCAGGCTGGAGTGCAGTGGCATGATCTCGGATCACTGTAGCCTTGACCTCCCAGGCTCAGGTGATCCTCCCACCTCAGCTACCCTTCCAAAGTAGCTGAACTATAGGAACATGCCACCATGCCTGGCTAATTTTTCCATTTTTTGTAGAGATGGGGTTTCACCATGTTGCCCAGGCTGATCTCAAACTCCTGGACTCAGGTGATCTGCCTGCCTTGGCCTCCGAAAATGTGGAGATTACAGGCATGAGCCTCCATACCCAGCCTCTCTGTTTGCCAAATCTTATCTGTCTACTCTATTGCTGAGTAGCCGACTCTCTGACAGCAGCAACTAACTACAAGTCATTAGCATAGTATCTTGGAGAGCTACCTAGGTACTTAGTAGCTGGTTGATTTCCTCTGCCCTCTTCCATTGTAGAGAGATATCAGTGAAAGAGATACATTCTGAATTTGAATCTGCTCTCCTTGCCAGTCACATTTCTGCTAGTTACCTGTATATGTCATATTATATATTATAGAGTCTGTGTGTGTGTGTGTGTGTGTGTGTGTGTGTGTGTGTGTGTGTGTGTGTATTGAAAAACTCGACCTTTAGCCCAAGTGAACAATACCTTTTTTGGAAAGGAGGCAGACTTGCAGAATAAAGGATATGCTCAGAACCAGTTTCCAGTATATCATTTAGCAAATCTCATAGTCACATTACAATGATCCGTGACAAGGGCTGGAATTGGGATGCATATCACATAATTAGATCTAATGACTCCCTAGCAAAATTATTTTCTCCTGGATTTATAGACTCTGTTAGGCTAAAAGTTTTAGTACTCAGTTACAGAAGGCTTCCACCCATGAATAAAATGATTTCATGGAATTGGATGCTAAGAATGCCATGTGGCCATTTTGAACTCCTCATGCTATTCAATCAACCAGCAAAGAAAGGGTACTACATGGTTGGCTGGGGCATTTAATCCTGCCAAGGAGACACGGTGTTGTATTAAGCGGTGGGTGTGAAGAATTATGAATGAAGCACAGGTGTTCCCCTGGACACTTCTTAGCTCAACCATGCTAAACATGAGATGCTAATGGGCAGGGCCATCAAGGGCTCATCTCTTCAGGAAGGAAGGCTTGAATGACCTCACTAGGCAAGCATCCCAGATCACCCTGTGTGCTGCTGAAGGCCTAGGGAACAGAGACAGTATAGGGGACTGGATCTATATGATTCATTATAGCCTTTAGACCAGTTGCAGTACAAGGGTTATGGCCTCCCTGATATTTATTTTTATATAGGTTGTATTGTTTCAAAAGTTTCAAAATATTGAGACAGAATCAAGAGAAAACCAAGGCAGAAATAGATGTTATCCATAAAACCTGGACCCAGAACTAGGTGCATTTGCTGAGGTTTGGTTGGGGTTCAGGTGGAGTGGGGTATACATGAGTTTTCAGCATACAAGGTTGTGCTGCAGTAGCTAGGTGAGAACTTTATTTTGAAAGATGATTATAAGAAGAGGTGAGGATGAGGATGCGGGCTTGCCAAGCAGGTGTAGTATATGGACCTCGGTCAATTTTGGCTTCCCAGAATCCAATACCTTCCTCATATAGAGTCATCCCAGAAGTGAGGGACACATTCCCACTCACAATGGAGAAGCTGAAATGGGGGAGATATTTCTCTTCCCAGATCGCTAGAGGTAGAAGGAGTGCACACGTGAACTGTGTTCAGCCAGTCATCAACTATCACCCAAGGTTCTCAATCTTGAGAGGGCGTGACCAAGAAGGAACAGTTAGTGACCATTGGCAGTAGGTGTAATGGTACAGCTGAATGCACACTGGTGTGGTCACGGGCACTGAGGCCCGGCAGCACTAGCTGCAGGCAGTGTTCTGTGGTTTGGGTTCCAGAATGCGTGATCAGGCCACGTTCTCTTTCAGCAGTTCAGACCGTCTTGGCCCCTGGCTGTGTTCTGACTCAGCGTTCTGGATTTCCCTGTCATTCTGCACACTAGTGAGGACCCTTGCAGTGAATCCTACATCTAATTTAGTAGGCCACACTTGATGTCTGTTGTTCACGATTAATGTTCCTACCTTCAACAAGTGGTTTTACACAATAAGAAGGTCGGGCACAGCCCTGGAGTGGGTGGGGAAGTGTGGGGAAGATATATTATCATTGGAGAGCAGATGATCAAGGACAGGTCCAGAGTGTTGGATGTGTTATGTGCAAAAAGCTGATGTCATACGTGATGATGGCAGAATATGGCAGAAGAGAAATATGGTAAACCAGATGCCAAATTCTTCAGAAAAGGAGGGGAAGCAATCCACTGGCCACACTGAAATGAATGAAGAGGGACTGTAGAGTAGTTTAGCCAAATCGATCATGTTATCAGAGAAGCAGAGATGTTTTACATGAGGTAGACAAAACAGGATATACAGCAGGCGCCTGAGAGCAAAGAAAAATCAGACCTGGCCAGGCACAGTGGCTCAAGCCTGTAATCCCAGCACTTTGGGAGGCCAAGGAGGGTGGATCACAAGGTCAAGAGTTCAAGACCAGCCTGGCCAATATGGTGAAACCCCATCTCTACTAAAAATACACACACACACACACACATACACACACACACATAAAAATAGCCGCGCATGGTGTCACACACCTATAGCCCCAGCTACTTGGGAGGCTGAGGCAGGAGAATCTCTTGAACCCCATAGGCAGAGGTTGCAGTGAGCTGAGATTGCACCACTGCACTCCAGCCTGGACAACAGAGTAAGACTCCATCAAAAAAAGAAAGAGAGAGAGAGAGAGAGAGAGAGAGAGAGAAGCAAGAAAGCAAGAAAGAAAATTCAGAGCCAAGTCCTGCCCCTGAGTCTGGGGTGTGGGAGACATGCAGGGTAGGGTGTCCCCTAGGCAGAGCTAGGTGCTAGGTTTTAGTTAAGGCAAAGAGGCAGAGCAATGTTTAGAAGGAGGTGAAAGTGTAGGAGAGTTTGTCTACCATGTGACAGATGTTCCATGGAGCATGATGAAGTCTTGCAGGGGAGAGCACAGGGCTGTCCCATCTAGGAGGCAGCACATCCTAGAATGGAGATTGTTGATGTCAGAGAGGACAGGTGACCATCCAGGGCAGATGTGAGGCACACCGTGTTTACATAGCACGAAGGTGTCCAAAGGTTAATCCAATATTCACATGTGCCTACACAAGATGCGCTACAGGGGTTCCTAAGTAGACTCCTGAGATAGTGACAGGCTTTGAGCTGCAAAGACCTGGCTCCTAGTCCTGAGTCTGTCACTTAGTAGCTGTATGATTTTAAGCCTTTCATTTTTGTTTACCCATCTATATAATGGGACTAACAAGGCCCATAATGCTTGGTGGTTGTGAGTGTCAGAAAGATGATACATAAAAGTACTTGAGGAAAAAGTTTCATTTGACAATAATTTTAAATGTACAAGTTGCAAGAATAAAAATGGTACAAAGAATACACATATACCTTTTGCCCAGATTCACCTATTGTTAATATAATAGTGTATATATATATATATATATATATATATATATATATATACACTGTTATTTTATATATACTGCTATTCTAACAGTATATATTATATATAGTTATATATATGCTGCTATTACACTGTTATACATATGGCAGGTTATAATATATATAACAGTGTATATGTATATGTTATATATACTGTTATTATAACCTACTGTTAGAACATTTTACCACATTTGCTTCATCATTTATCAGTTACATCCTCTCCATATTTATATATCTTTAAAATATTTAAAATATGTATGTGCATATAAAATGTCTGTGTATATCTGCATAAAATATTTTTGAACCACTTGAGGGTAAGTTTCATATATCATGGTCCTTAATACCTGAACACCTCAGTCTGTATTTCCTAAGAATAAGATAATCTCCTACACAACTGCAGTGTAGTCATCAACTTCAGAAACTTAACAGGATATGATAGTTTAGTCTACCATTCATATTCCAATTTTGTCACTTGACCCACTTCTGACCTCCTGGCATCTCCCCTGCTGTACAGATTCCGCCTAGGGCTGGGCTGTGCACTTAGTTGCAAGTCCCTCACCTCCTTTCTTCCTTTAATCGGAAACATTTCTACAGCCTTTCTTTGTCTGATAAACATGTCTTTAAAAAGTTACACTACAGCAACACAAGTTTAAGGCTAAAAACTAAAAAACATAGAAAACCAGCAAGGAAAAAAATCACCGATAAGCTCAGACCTCAGGTCAGGGAAGTCAACATGGTCCCACTTTCCTGCTCTCCTGGGGAGCACCCGAAACGTCAATCCCACTTGTCTTTTGTTTTATTTTCTACTCTGTGCTTTTCCCCCAAAGACAACTTTACACTGCTCCTTTCCACAATGATGTGTGTGTGTGTGTGAAAATCTGTGAATGTGCTTCTGCAACCACAAAGTCCTATACAAGTTTAAAGTACTCTTAGCTACACAATACAGCTAGAAAATGGGACTGTGTGAAATATACATTTCCTGCTGCCATGGTGCTCATTTCTCTGACTGCCTCTCTTCTTACTCCTTCCTCTTTATTCTCTCAGATCAGAGACTATTTTCTCTGTGTCCCCAGAGCACTGTAACTGTGCCTTATTGAATCACACTGCTATTATCTGTTTATAGGTCTGAATCTCTCACCAGATTGAGATGCTATCGATGCTGGGACTATGTCATATATCTCTTTTTATCCTTGGTTCCAAGTAAGTCCTTGCTACATAGTAGTCAATTAATAAGGAGATATGGGAGGAATTAATTTGCATCTATTTAAGCACGTTTCTGGGGGATGCAATGTTATATCAGAAATGACTCAGTGTTGGTCTGCAGGTGAACTATTGAGTCTCAGCATCTGTATAACTTGAAAGAACATTGGCTGATGGACGACGTCACACTTGTTCAATTATCTACAAATTATTAAATCCACTTAGGACCATGGTCGACACAATGGTATCTAAGTAAAAACAGAGTAATTAATGGAACAAAATCACATGTAGGAAGAAAATTCAGTCTTGTTTAAATTAAAACAGATGAAAAAAACCGGTGGAAATTGGAGCACCAGATGGTATCAATAAATTACACTAATTTTCTTTTCACGTATTCAATTATAGTTTAAATAAAAACTAATATGGCTAATTTATCTCATGGAGTTTGTATACACCATCTGATTTTACATTCCCACAATGTCCAACTTACCCACCGATCTCACGCTGCACGATGTTTAGCCAAGCAGGGCGTGATCTGCAGGGCATTCTGGGGTGGGGTTCATGAGGGTGCTGGCTCCTATGGGCACCAGGAGCGAGGTATCACAGGGCTGGAAGTCAGTACTGAGTTCTGCTTCCCCAAGAGTGTGGTTGCCAGATACAGTGCAGGATGCCCAGCTGAATTTAAATTTCAGGTGAACAAAGAATAATTTTCTAGTACAAATATGTCCCAAATATTGCATGAGACTCATACTAAAAAACTATCCACACAGTTTACCTATTACTTTCCCGTGCATTTCTTTACTCTTTGCAACAGATCCACGAACCAGGGCCTCAGATTCAGTGGGAATGAAGTGGAGGCCCAGAAAGAATCATGTCCAGGTGAAGCTCTACCATTCCCAGCAGTATTTGAGGACTGGTCGGTGTTCAGCAGCAGCCCCAGCCAGGACCTCCCAGGGGACCCAAGACGGGATAGGATGGAGAAGTGGAACCAGGCCCTCTGACCCTATCCCAGCACTGGAAACTGGCGAGAGCAGGCTATCCTTCCAGGCCAGGCCTAGGGACAGATTAACATCAAGAATGGGCAGAAACCTCTGTTCCCCGCAGCCCTGAGACACTATGCAAAATAAATCTTTGCTCCTGCTTTGTGGTGTCAGAAACTACTTTAAAATGGAAGGAGGGAAGGCATATGTGAAAAAATTCAAATTCTTAAGAGACAGCTAGCTTCAAAATCCAAATGAAAATAGAATAATTTTCAAAGACAAAACTTGGTACAAGTTTAAGTGACCTAAATCAGATGCCATCCTGGTGTGGTGCGCGTGGTGGTGATGGAATCAGAAGCAGAAGATACGGGATTACTCACAATGGGGCAAGATGCTATTGAAAGCCAGGAAAGAGCACAGACCACAAAGACATCTCCCCTTATGAAATGCAACATTTTTTTCCTTCTAAGTAAACTTTCTTTTTCTTTTTATTTACTTATTTTTTTGAGGCGGAGTCTCGCTGTGTCGCCTAGGCTGGACTGCAATGGCGCCATCTTGGCTCACTGCAACCTCTGCCTCCCAGGTTAAAGCACTTCTCCTGCCTCAGCCTCCCAAGTAGCTGGGAGTACAGGTGTGCGCCACCACACCTGGATAATTTTTGTATTTTTAGTGGAGACGGGGTTTCACCATATTGGCCAAGCTGGTGTCGAACTGCTGACCTCAGATGATCCACCTGCCTCGGCCTCCCAAAGTGCTGGGATTACAGGCATGAGCCAAGACACCCGCCCTACTTTAAGTTCAGGGGTACATGTGCAGGTTTGTTATAGAGGTAAACCCATGCATGTCATGGGGGTGGTTGTACAGATTGTCACCCAGGTAGTAAGCCTAGTACCCATTAGTTTGTTTGTTTCTTTATCCTCTCCCTCCTCCTACCCTCCACCCTCCGATAGGCCCCAGTATATGGTTATCCCCTTTTATATGTCTATGTCTTCTCATCATTTAGCTCCCAATTTTAAGTGAAAACATGTGGTACTGGGTTTTCTGTTCCTGCATTAGTTTGTTAAGGATAACGGCCTCCAGCTCTATCCATGTTGCCACAAAGGACGTGATCTTGTTCTTTTTTATGACTGCATAGTATTCCATCATGTGTATGTACCACATTTTCTTTATCCAGTCTACCACTGATAGGCATTTAGGTTGATTCCATCTCTTTGGTATTGTGAATAATGCTGCACTGGACATACACGTGCATGTGTCTTTATGAGAGAACAATTTCTATTCCTCTGGGTATAGAGGTGATGGGATTGCTGGGTCCAGTGGTTGTTCTATTTTTAGGTCTTTGAGGAATCACCACACTGTTTTCCACAAAGGTTGAACTAATTTACCATTAGGTTGAACCAGCACCTGTTATGTTTCGACTTCTTAATAATGGTCATTCTGACTGATGTGAGATGGTATCTCATTGTGGTTTTGATTAAAATGCAGCATTTTCTAAAAGGAGGCCACAGGATTAAGAAGGAAGAACATGGGCTTCCAAGTTAAGCAAACCTGGATTCACATTTTGTCTCTACCGTTTAATATCTGTGTATCTCAATGAGGAACATATGGTGGCTGAACATCCTCTTTGGTGAAACTAGGCTATAGAATCATCTTTGGGAGTGTGCTCATGTCTCAGTTTACCTGAAATGCATCCCACAAACAAGATGGACCAATACATGGACAGAGGGATAGACAGATTGATCAATATGTGATCACACAAGATGTCAATGGTATAATAAATCTAAATGGTCGGTATATAGGGTTGGCTGTAAAATTCATTTGACTTTTCTGTATATTCCAAAATAATCAAAATACCTGTCTGAGTTGATGTGAGAATTAAATATGATGGTATACAGGTGCTTGAAACCTGGTATCTCCAACTTCTGTATTTTTTCAGTGGCACACAGAAGTGTCTCATGTCACTTATGGAAGCGGTCTGATAACATTTTGTAGGAGTGATGGGACCCAGATCCTTTCATAGTCCCTGCTCCCCACCTTATTCCAGCCTGTATGTTTGTTCTGCATCACAGAAAAAAGTAGAGATGCTTACTGGATGGCAGGATAGAGGTTAGAGTAAGAGGAGAGAAGCTTATCTCACTTTGGGCAAATCTTCCCTTTGTAAGTGTTATTAAACTGGAAAAAAATGAGGTGCCTTAGAATTAGCCCAAGAAGTGGTAACTCTAAAAGCAAGGCCGTGTAGATAAATCCCACTGGACAAAAAGTTGTACTTAGCTAGCCGAGGTCTCTGCTCATTCTTCATTCCACAGCATCTATCTTCCTTAAGGAAATTATGACAAAGAAGTGTTTCCTGTATCTAGTTTGCACTGTGGAGAAAACAAAATATGAATATGAAATGTAATGATTAGTTTCAGCAAAATGTCTATTTTTCCTATTATCAAAATTTTCTCCAATTCTTGCAAAATAATATAATCAGTAAGATGTTTAATTCCTTAAAGTTTAGCAACACATAGCTTATTTTTAATAAAATGCAGAGCTCCTTGGGGAAACAGCTGATTCCAGGGCAAAAATAATAGAAAATGAGAATCTAGTTAAAAGGCCACAGCAGCTACATTGGAGGGGCTTCCACTAATCAAACGTGGAACAATTTGAGCAACAAAATAAATAAGTAGAGTAACCCATAGAATAAAATAATAACCCATGAGTCCTCATTGAGATAAATGTGTAAGTAAACTAATGTTGCAGAAATAAAATGCTTTCTCATGGAAGTATTCCAACTAAATGCAGAAGAAATGATGGAATTAGAATATTCCCATTTGGCAACCACTATAGTAATAAGTATTTTAGACAATCATCAAGGATGCTAAAACTTGTGGACAAAAGTATGATGAGAAAGGGCACAGGTACCTCGTCTCTAAGTGTCTCCTCACAAGATACCTGATAATTACAAGCAAAACAACAACTTTCAGGTGGAGAATCCTGCAAGATGTTACCTTAAACTATTGATCAAAGTTAGTAGCACTAATTGTCTTTGTTCAGGATGCTTAACAGAACAGCATAGACTGAATGGCTTATAAACAAAAGAAATGTATATCTTGCAGTTCTGGAGGCTGGGAAGTCCAAGATTAAGGCACCAGCAGATTTGGTGTCTGGTGAGTGCCCACTTCCTGCTTCATAGTTGGCACCTTCTTGTTGTGTCCTCACATGGTGGAAGGGTGAGGGAGCTTCCTGGAGTCTCTTTTATGAGGGTACTAATCCCATTCATGAGGCCTCCATCTTCATGACCTAATCAATTCCCAGAAGACCTACCTCCTAATACCATCACCTTGGAGTTAGGATTTCAACATGTGAATTTGAGGGTGGGTACAAATATTCAGTCTATAGCACCAATAATGAGAGAAATCATCATCATGTGCCTCCTGATATCATGCACTAGGAAGGACACAGACCACTTCCATGATAGTCCTGACAAAAGGGCATATGGTGAATCTAAACACAAGGAAGCGTTAGACAAAGCCAGATTGAGGGAAATTCCGCAAAATACTTGTATATTGTTCAAAATTGTCAATCATGAAAGATAAAGACTAGAGACCATTTTGGATTAAAGAAGCATAAAGAGATACCATATGTAAATGTAGCGTATGATTCTGAACTGGATCCTCAACCAGAAAAGCTTTTATTTTGCTATATAGGACATTAGTGGGACAATAGCGAAAGTTTTAATATTTGTAGATTAGCTAATGTGGACTCTATCAAAGTTAAGTTTCTGATTTTGATAATCATGTTAGAGAATATTGTTGTTTTTAGGAAATACACACTGAGGTACCTAGAGGTATAGAGTATAATTCTGCTTTTTCTCAAACTTCCCAGAAAAAAAAAATTGAGTAGATACTAAGACATACACACACAGACACACACACATAGACACAGTGAGAATCAAGCAAAGGTGTTAAGATGTTAATACTTGAGGAACCAAGGTAAGGATTATATAGAAATTCTAAGCACTATTTTTGCAACTTTTCTCAAAGTCTGAAATTATGTCAAAATTTTAAAATAGAAAACAATCTTTTTCACAAAAAGTATATATTTGTAAGTTCTTAGTCAACCTTTAAAAGCACATTATATATTTGGTTGGTGCAAAAGTAATTGCAGTTTTTGCCATTACTTTTAATACGTTTTAAATTTCCCCAAATTTCTAATTGTTTGCCTCCAAACAGGCAAAAAAAAAAATCTGAATTTCTCATGATTTCTGAGTTTTTGAGAATTTTACTTTTCTTGCCTTAAAAAACGTTCTTCTAGAGCATTGATTTCCTCTGATGGATGACCAAAATTCAAAGTCAAATTAAAACTCCCACAGAGCTCAAGGTGAGCCCCGTTGTGACATTATGCAACTCACCTGGTGCTGTTGTGAAAGGATTTCACTGCACCTCAGCACTGAAGTTCTAAGCTCCCTCAATACATCTGTATGCCCTTCTAAAGATTGTGATCTTGTGTTGTGGTTGTTTCACAGACCTTCACTTCATTCCCTACCCCACTCCCACTACTTGAGGACTTGGAACTTGGGTTTTCATATTGTTTCCACCGAGTCTAGCACAGTGTTTAAAATTTGGAATGCTAAAAATGACATTTGTTATGATCTCACATTTTTTAGGCGTCTCTTCAAAAAAAATCCCCTTAAATGTCTACATGTCGTGTTTACTCACAGAGCTATTCCCTGAAGAAAGGGCACTTTGATTTACTGAATGCCCACGATGCCATCTAGTTCAGTCCTTAATATTACCACCTAGTTCAAATTTGCCGTCTATTTCAGTCCTTAATATTACCATATGACTGTAGGTATTGATATTCTCACTTGGCAGATGAGAAAATTGAAGTACAAAAGGTTTTAAAATTGCTGAAGCTTACACGGTAAATAAGTTGCAGAGCTAGAATTTTAACTCAGACTAGCTTAATGCCAAGCCCATGAGAGTTCCCATAAGTAACTCTTGATTTCTTTTTTTTTTTTTGTCCAGGTTTTTACATTTATTCTTAATACAAAATTTTCCATATTATACTTTTACAATTGTTATTATAATTAAAATTCAAGTTATGTCTTTAATTTTATTTTTCATTTTTGTTTTGTTTCTCTTTTTCTTGATTTATATTTTATTTATGTCATTTAGTAATTAAATAAATTATTTTTCTTTTTTCTATTTAAATAATTTTAGCTCTTTGTTATCTCATTCTGATTTTTTTTTCTGGTTATATATTATATAGTTTTTAAATTATACTTTAAGTTCTAGGGTACTTGTGCACAACGTGCAGCTTTGTTACCTATGTAAACATGTGCCATGTTGGTGTGCTGCACCCATTAACTCGTCATTTACATTAGGTATATCTCCTAATGCTATCCCTCCCCCTGCCCCCCACCCCACAACAGGCCCTGGTGTGTGACGTTCCCCTTCCTGTGTCCAAGTGTTCTCATTGTTCAATTCCCACCTATGAGTGAGAACATGCGGTGTTCGGTTTTCTGTCCTTGTGATAATTTGCTGAGAATGATGGTTTCTAGCTTCATCCATGTCCCTACAAAGGACATGAACTCATCATTTTTTATGGCTGCATAGTATTCCATGGTGTATATGTGCCACATTTTCTTAATCCAGTCTATCATTGTTGGACATTTGGGTTGGTTCCAAGTCTTTGCTATCGTGAATAGTGCTGCAATAAACATATGTGTGCACGTGTCTTTGTAGCAGCATGATTTATAATCCTTTGGGTATATACCCAATAATGGGATGGCTGGGTCAAATGGTATTTCTAGTTCTAGATCCTTGAGGAATCGCCACACTGCCTTCCACAATGGTTGAACTAGTTTACAGTCCCACCAACAGTGTAAAAGTGTTCCTATTTCTCCACATCCTCTCCAGCACCTGTTGTTTCCTGACTTTTTAATGATCACCATTCTAACTGGTGTGAGATGGTATCTCATTGTGGTTTTGATTTGCTTTTCTCTGATGGCCAGTGGTGATGAGCATTTTTTCATGTGTCTGTTGGCTGCATAAATGTCTTCTTTTGAGAAATGTCTGTTCATATACTTTGCCCACTTGTTGATGGGGTTGTTTGTTTTTTTCTTGTAAATTTGTTTGAGTTCTTTGTAGATTCTGGATATTAGCCCTTTGTCAGATGAGCAGATTGCAAAAATTTTCTCCCATTCTGTAGGTTGCCTGTTCACTCTGATGGTAGTTTCCTTTGCTGTGCAGAAGCTCTTTAGTTTAATTAGATCTCATTTGTCAATTTTGGCTTTTGTTGCCATTGCTTTTGGTGTTTTAGACAAATCCTTAGCCAAAAGTAACTCTCGATTTCAATCAATTATTCTATTTCACAGTTTAGACAAGCAATCCCATTGAACAGGCACCCATTTGTACAGCTGGTCCTTACAGATGCTTCCTTTGGTTCCCCTGCAGATTTGGGGGAGAGGAGATGGAAAATAAAAACACGGTTATGGAAGAGTAAATTGAAAATGAAGCTCATAGCCACTTGGAATTAAGGAATAAAGTGGTTGCTTATTGACATGCTTTGTATAATATCTGCATTGGAAAATAATTTATAGGGCTATGTTCTCTCACATTTTATCATTGGAAAGAAGTGAGAGAAAAACTCCAAGAAGGACTGAGAGGCACCTGGGCCCGGATTCATGCTAGATATCATTCATCAGAACAGCTGGTTTGTCCAAAAATAATGATAGCCCAGGCTTCTGTTTTCCCTCAGCACTTGATATCCCTTCTTTTCTTTACTGTTTAGCAGAAGATAGAAGCTATGATGTTGGGAACTGCACACCTCAGAGCTGCTAGCATGAATGGTAGGGCTCCAGCTCACTCAGTCCCAAGCCCTAATGCTCCTTGCTTCCTTCTGACATGGCCACATACCAGGAAAGGCAAATGCTTCAGGGAGAGTTGGGCCATTCATCCACCAAGAATGAGAGAAGCCACACGGGGAAGGGTGGGAAAATAATAATAAAAGCGAACAGCTAATAACTAATAGATGTTGACCTGAGAAGCAAGGAAGAACTTGATGCAAGACCTTGGAGGATATTGAAGACAAGGAAAATGCTCCTTGATACCCTGTCATCACGTATTCCATGACATAGCCTAGGAAGGTCATTGGCAAACATCTTTGGAGAGCAATCTGGAATTCTCCAAATGAACCACCCACCTTGGAAGAGATTCTCTGTAGCTAAATAGGGGTTACCTAGTTTGAAGTCTAGGGAGATGAAAGGCTCCTTCTTTGGCCAAATAATAGCTAGTGATTACAGGCATCACCATATGAAGGAAATGAACCACCAAACTGAGCCCTGTCCAAATTCATGAGTCACAAAATTGTATAATATACAGCTGACCCTTACAACATGGGTTGTAATTGCTCAGGTCTACACTTACATGGATTTTCTTGTGCCTCTGACACCCCTGCGACAGCAAGACCAACTCTTCTACTTCCTCCCCCTCCTCAGCCTACTCAATGTGAAGACATTGAGGATGAAGACTTTTATAATGATCACTTCCACTTAATAGTAAATATATTTTCTCTTCCTTATGATTTTCTTAAGAACATTTTCTTTTCTCTAGATTATTTTATTGTAATAATGTGGTATATAATACATATAACATACAGAATATATGTATTCATCGACTATGTTATCGGTAAGGCTTCTGGTCAACAGTGTGATATTAGTGGTTAAATTTTGAGGGAGTCAAAAGTATTTGTGGATTTATAACTGAGATGGAGGTTGGTGCCACTCACCGTCTTGTTGTTCAAGGGTCAAGTGTAACAAAACATTTCTTTGTACGCAAAGCTTCAATTGTTGCTGTCTTAAGCATTTGAATTCGATGATAGTTTGTTACAGTAATAGATGACAGGAACACTGGGCCTCAGTATCCCCATCTGTAAAATAAAAGGATTGGCCTTCACGCACTCCAAGAGTCCTTACAATCCTAAAGAATCCCTTGATATGCACTTTTTGTTTCTCTTACCTGAGTAATGCATCAATTTTTGCTAAAGTGACTCTGTGTTATTCCTGCTAGCATACAAACTGCTGTGAGAACTACATTTTTGAGCTACTGCGTTGGCCCCGAGTGTTTACTATAGAATTGAAATGTTTCACCAGATGGGAGCCTCAGCATACACCATGAAAGTGGGGTCCACTCTTCCAGTATGCAGGGCACCCTTGCTTATGGTGTTAGACTCTCATTCAGAACTCTGCTAGCTACAACAGTAAAACCAGGAGGCCAAGAGCATCCCCCTCTCTCGCTAAGAAACTGGTAGGAGGCAAAGAAGAGCCATTCCAAAAATGTTGAAATGAGAAAATGTACAAACTAGAAAAAAATTCCATAAATAGGATAGAAGTATATTTCTCCTACATTCAATTTTCCTTAATAAGATCTTTAAGGACTGTCATTTACAAATTTATCTCAGCCATCTTTGAACCTATTTACATTTTCACCATCTTGAGAGAACGAGCTCCATATCATCTTTATATTTATTTGTCCTAAATTTACCTCCTTTAAGCTAGTTTTAGTAATCTACCACCTCTTTCTCTCTGTATGACTAGGTTGAGAAGATCCAAAAGTCTGAGTTGTGAAACAAAATATACTGAAAATTAGCCATGTCAAATCCTCTGTAAACTGAATTATAATATAAAAATACATAAAAATTGAATAGGTAGAGTTTTCCCATCCAACAGATACCCATGAAAACCTCTCAGGAAAATATCACACAAAAGATGAAAGAAGCAAACTTGTTTCTAGCATAAAGGGTCACCTGGTTATGACCTTAGGTTGTACGGTAGAAAGGACTTACAGACAAGAAAATCTGGGAGGGAGCTATGTTTCATCCCTTACTCTATATAGCTCTTTGAAAAGTTCCCTGACCACCCCACCACCCTAAGACAACATGATTGCTTATGTAAAAGGAGGGCACCCTCCTGGTTAGGACTATGGCCCAGGGAGCCAGCTTACTTGGACTACATTCTACTCCCCCATGGACAGCTGTGTGACTGTGGAAAAGGCGCTTAACTTCTCTGGGCTTCAGTTTTTTGTGTGCAAAATGTGGAACTAATATTACCTACTGCATGGTGTTTTCATAAGGTTTAAATACGTAAAGCTCTTGGAACATGTCTTGGACTTGATGAGCACCATGAAAGTATTAGCTGCTATGATGACAGTCAGATACTAAATAGATATTCTTTCTTTTTTTTTCCTTCTTCTGCAAGTTTTGCAATACAAATGAAGCTCTATTCCATTCTGGTTCCAAAGAGGCTATGTTTGTACCATGCAAATAAAAATTGCTACACGTACATAGAGGCTAGTTTGATTGTTGATAACGTAAATAGCAATAGATGACTTAAAAGTATAAAAGACTTTGAACAAAAGGAAGAGCTTCCAGACTGCTAAGCTCACTAAGACAAGGGAATCTGATGCATTATTTCCTGGGAGTCTTTTAAGAAGACAGTGCATAATTAGGTGTCCTGGTTGCTATTTAGGAAGTTACCTAACAAGCATATGGTAGTATGTATTTGGAGAAAGAATGGCATCGAATGGCAGCTGGACAAGGTGTTTTCTAGGCTGTCCTTCCAACTCATGAATTCTTATAAGGTCCTAAAAATGTAAAGCACATGGCATATTTCATTTCTTTGTATGTAAAGCTTTATTTCCTTTAGGGTCTCCTTGGCTGGTTTCACTGACTATAACACATTATTGGAGGGCTAACAGCCACTCACTTGGCAATGCAGGGCCAGTGGCATGCAAAACACTAGGAGGATCTGAGCACTCTTGCCCAGGGCTGTGCCCAGGGGCTTAGGACCCAAGCCTAGTTAGAGGCCTATGGACCACACAGCAAGCAGATGTCAGCCAGTTTTACTCACAGCCCTCAGCAAATGCCATCATGACCAGCCTGTATCTCCAAGACCCACCCTGGAATTTGCCTGCTGAAGTTTCCTCAGCTTCCTGTGTCTGTGCTTCAGGGTGTTCTCTGGCTGCCAAGTGTGCTCAGCCTATGCTAGGGTCTGGGGTGAACTTCACTTAACCAGGGAAAGATGTGATGAAAAACTACCCCAACTTCCTTGCCACTGTGTTAATGGACTGAATGTTTGTGTCCCTCTCAAATTTATATGCTGGCTCTCAAATCCGCAGTGTGGCTGTATTTGGAGATGGACCCTGTAAGGAAGTAATTAAGGTCAAATGAAGTCATGGGGTGAAAACTTGATCCAAAAGATTAGTCTTCTTATAAGAAGAAAGCTAGAGCTGGGTGAAGTGGCTCATGCCTATAATCCCAGCACTTCGGGAGGTTGGAGGATTGCTTGGGAGGTTGGGGGATCACTTGAGGACAGGAGTTCGAGACCAGCCTGGCCAAAAAGCATGACCCCTATCTCTATAAAAAAAAATTAAAAAATTAGCCAGGCATGGTGGGTCATGCCTGTAGTCTAAGCTACTTGGGAGGCTGATGGGGAGAATCCCTCTAGCCAGGAGTGGGAGTCTACAGTAAGCTATGATCCTATGATCACACCAGTGCACTCCAGTTTGGGCAACAGAGTGAGACTCTATCTCTTAAAAAAGAAGAAGAGAGCTACAGAGTTCTTGCTCTTTCTCCATGGGCAGGGACCAGGGAAAGGCCAGGTGACAACACAGTGAGAAGGCAGCTGTCAGCAAGCCAAGACAAGAACCCTCACCAGAAACTGAATTTGCCAGCACCTTGGTCGTGGACTTGGCTCCACAACTGTGAAAATACATTCCTGTTTTTAGGAGAAACGTCTACAGTTTAGGCTTTAGGAGGCCTTGAACATTATGGAGTATCATTGAAGGCATTATGTGAAGGGTCAAGTGTGTTTGTGGAAAGGAGAAGGGGAAGACCTTTGCTAGGGCTCCTGGGATGAAGGCCCACAGGTGTGCCTCAGATTTTCTTTACCAGACATGATATACCACCTTCTTTCACTCTCTGACCTCCTTTGGGTGAGAATGAATTAAATGGAACCAAATTTCTCCCACATAGAAACAGCCCAAACCCCGGGTACAGAGTAATTCACTGTATACCAGGGAAGTAAGTACTCTTGAAGGTCTTTCCAACTCAGAGGTTCTAGGATTTTATCATAAGACTACCCTTCATTTACATATGACATCGTAACTCCCTGAAGGGAAGCCTCATGGGCTTACTGAGGGTTAGTTTCTGAAGGTGACACTTCCAACATGAAATGGTGGTTGGAGTCCCAAGTAGAAGGGCTTGTCAGTTGGCATCTATGGAAGGTGGACTTGGCTGCCTCAAGCTTGGCAGTTGGTCCCAGTGCCCTGTTGTCATGGCTCTAGATTTACTGTTTTGAGCATGCGAACGTAACTTTGTAGTAAAGTCAGTGGGTCTACATTATTTAACAGCGTGTGTGATGTACTAACTGTTTGTGAGGGAAATGTGAAATCCTGTAACAAGTACCTTCCTCAAGAAAATGGGTGATTTTGATCTCCATCACACGAGGAGCCTGGGCTAATTTCCCTGCCAAGCATATTTTTCCAGAGCATTAATCTGGTGTAAATCACTTAAGTCAATCTCCAGAACAACTTTGGTCCTCATAATTTTTATTTGCATAATTCATCAATTAAAAATATTGGAGGAGAAATAAATTTGTTACTGCAGAACACATTCTTTGGACTTTCCATAAAATTATATCCTATAAACTTTAGGCTTACCTGGGCTCAGAATGAATTTGCTGGTCCCCTAGATATGCTACAAAGAGGAATCCTCATTTTTCAGGCAGCCCGTTTCTGTAGATACTTTGTAGACTAACAGACCTAGGTTTGCATACTCATTTCATGTATAACCTTGAAACGTTATTTCAACTCTCTAAACATTAATTCTCTTATCTAAATATTGGTCACACACACACACTGAGACTTAATTAATATAATAATATTTACTATTACTAGGGGTTGTTGTAAAAATTAATAAGAAAATGTATGTAAAGTGTCTAACAAAAATTATCACAGAATTGGCACTTTTAGTACGTATCTGTCATTCTTTGTCCATGAAGCATCCATATTCCATTCCTATATTTAAGTAATTCCCTACCTTTTTCATCTTGGTGGGAAATAGAAACTGACAACTCCAGATAACAACTTTCCCAGGATCTCTTAAAGTGAGGCCTAGGCACCTGACACAAGGTTAGCCAATCAGATACACATAACCTAGGTTTGACCAATCAGATGCATCTGCTCAGACTTGACCCGGAGGACTGTACTGCAAATAAGAAGGACACTGGAAAATCCTTCCACAGGGCTAAACTGGTAGCAGAAACACCTGGCTTATTGCGGCACCAGGGACAGAAATGTCAGCTGTAGTATCTGGTGACCAGTGCTCAGTGTAAGCAGTGATGTTCTCATTGGAATAGTTCTAAGCCATTATTTGGGCTGTGGTCCTGGTAACATGACTTTCTGCCCACTTTTCAAACCCAGTTCTCCAATCTTCCTGGTAAGACTATACGTTAAGTCTATCCCTGTTACTTTTAACTGCCTACACAGATATGTTTGGTCTACTTGATTCAGGTGCCTTTCTGTAAACAGACCTAAAAGCATAGCTTTAGCCCTTGAGTTTGATAAAGAAAACCAAAATGTGGGTTGAGAATGATGAACCCTTCACCATGAAAATGTTTTTCAAGCAGAAAATTACAAAGGATAAATGACAGACATGATCATTGGTAGTTGAATATCAATCTTTTTTACTAAGGAATCAATGAATTTATGGTCATGGTAGTTGAAATGATATTTAATCTTGACTTGATCTTGGTTTTCTCCACCATTCATAACCTTTTACTTCCCTCTCTGCTGATCTGCTTCAGCATCCATCACCAGCCCACACTCCAATTGATCTGTTTTGTGTGGGGCTGCGCTGAGGCTTAGTTGTTCCTTGTAGTAGGTAGAGCTGATTCATTAATTGCAAGGCATTCTCAAGGGCCGTTGACAATTGCTCTAAATTCAGTAACTTACACCTGGTCAATTATATTTCTTTTGCTGTAACTTTGTGTATACCTATTCACCTTTGCCCAAACCCATAAAATGTTGAAATGCTGAAGTTTATCATCTATGAAGTGCAAAAGCACCCTGGTAAAGATTGCTGCAAAACATCAGCTTAAGCCTGGCAGGCTCGGCCAGGTATCATATCTCTGGTGGCCCATAAAAGTAAGTGAGTCTTATTTCAATGAGTTTGAGGAAACAGATCAGAAGCCCCTGCACAGTCCAACTGAACGCAGATTTTATTTGCCTTTTATGTTTCCAGCTTTAATGTCTTGGCTCCATGACCTAAACTTTATTTTTATTTGCAGGATGTGATACAGTGAATTTATGAACACCCATGCACATGTGTGCACACACACATATACACACACTGTCTTATAGATTTTATCAAATCTCTTCCACTTAAAAAAAAACAGTGAATTATAAATTATTTCTAACATACGAAGAGGTACAAAGAGTTATACTGTAAACATCTACATGCCTTACTTTCCTTTTTGCCTTTTCCATGTGATTGTGGATTTAGCCAAACCTTCCCTGGCATTTAAAGCAGGCATTTCACTTAGGAACTTCAGATTAGCTTGCTCTATTATTTCTAGCAGGGATTTTATACCATAGCTTAAAAGATCCACTGAAACCTTTGTTGCCTTTCCTAGATAGGGAGACATATTTGAGAAATTCAGAATACTGATTTAAAACTTAAAGTGAACTTGGAGGTCAATGAATAAACTGGGCTATCTCCATACTTAGTATATATTCATCTATCCAGTGGGTCTATTAATGCCTCTACTCTGGTTTGAATTCCAAAACATACAATCATAAAACAACCATTTTATTATGATCAGGGCACAATGGGGACAGTTTATCTCTGTTCTATGAGATCTGGGACCTTAGCTGAAAAGATGCAATGGCAGTTGGTGACTCAAATGCTGGGCACCGGAATTACTTCAAGATGAACTCACTCACGTGTTCAGTGATTGATGCCACCCGGGGCTACTGACCAGAGCTCTTATATGTGGCTTCTCCATGTGGTGTGGGCTCCCTCCCAGCATGGCTGTTCCTGGGAAGTCAAGTTTCCTACAGGGTAGTTTAGGGTTCTAGAGCTAATGATTTAGTAAACAAGGTAGAAGCTGTACCCCCTGTCCTATTCTAACCTAGCCTTAAAACTCATCTCTGCCACATTGGATTAGTTACAAGTGACTCACAAGGTACGAGAAGGAGTGGCAAAGAATTCACAGCATTCTGATTTTTTATTTTGAGACAGAGTCTCACTCTGTCACGCAGGCTGGAGTGCAGTGGCGTGATCACAGTTCATTGCAACCTTGACCTCCCCACCTCAGCCTCCCGAGTAGCTGGGACAACAGGTGCATGCCACCACACCTGGTTATTTTATTTTATTTTTTTTAATTTAATTTAATTTTATTTTATTTTAGTTTTTTTATTTATTTTTATTTATTTTATTTGATTTTATTTATTTTATTTTATTATTTTATTTTAGTTTAGTTTAGTTTAGTTTTTAAATTTATTTTTGTTTATTTTTATTTTTTATTTTATTTTATTTTATTTTTTTATTTATTTTTATTTTTATTTTATTTTATGTATCCCCCTATGTTGCCCAGACTGGTCTTGAAGTCCTGAGCACAAGAAATCCTCCTGCCTCAGCCTCCCAAAGTGCTGAGATTACAGGCAGGAGCCACCACACCCAGCCACAGCATTTTTTTTTTTTTTTTAAATAACAACAATCCTAAATGGTCTCTCTCCAACTTCTCCTTTAAACAACTCCCAGCATACCCACACGAGCCACCAAAGGACAGAGAAAGCAGCACTTCTAGACACTTACCCTTAAGAATGGCACACTTTAGTCTCCCTTGCCCAATATTGTCCTTTGAATTTTCCCCATTGCTAACTTGCATCTTATTTGGCTGTGCACATTGGCTAGTCCATTTGGATTGTTGACCCCAAGTCTAAACTCTGTGACCTGATTCTGCTCCTGAAAACAGCCTCTCTGATGAGGTCTGCCCTCATTGGTTCTCCCAATTCTAGTGCATCTCTAGCCCTTAAGGTCAAGGGCATGAGGATTGGGTATAGTGCTTTGGAAATGTTCAGGCCTTGCAAACACTTCTGAAAGCCTTATTCACATAGATTTAAGGTATGCTTCTTCTCATTAAAAGCCATGCAAAGTCTCTAGATTGTATCTGGCCAAATGTTTCCATTGTAATAACAAACATTAAGTATGAAATCAGTGAAAACCATGAAAGAGAGACAACTCAGGGGTTACATGAGGCAACCAACTCCATCAAATTTGTAAATTGAAAAACTGTTCTTTCAAATGATTATTTTCTGAGTTCACTTGAAATCAGTCTATAGAGCACCCAATCATTTCTAAATAACAGGTTTGGGGCTTTTAAAGGAGTCAGGACATTGTGTTTCTGATTTATCATTTGTGGTGTGTTTGTTTTTCAGAGGAATAAATCAGCCTAGAATCAAATGTTTATATTTATTCTTCAGATATGTCCTGGCCGAAATATCACCAATATCTGCACTGTAGTGTGGAATTAAACATTTTCTGTTTATCTTGTCTCTTTACACATAAAATTTTTATTCTTTTCAGGGGACTGACATTAACAAGGGTACTGGTCTTGGGATAAGAAATGAGAATCTACCCAGATCCTCTCCGGAAAATCTGTTTTATAATTCCCTAAAGCTACAATTACATGCAAACTGGATTCTTGAAATAAAACACAATTGAATTTAAATGACATCTACATGAAACCCAATAACTCGATTACATTGTTTTAATGTTCTTAATGTGGTCAAAGGCAGCCCATGGCTTTATCATCAATTAGGTAAGCTTTTGAGGGAAATTCTGAAAAATGGCAAGTCCTCACGTGTGGACTGACAACTGAGCAATTTGCCTGCTGTGCTTCAGAAAGAGAGGCCAGCTCTGTGAGGTGCTGTCGAAATGACTGAAAACCACCCACTGCGGATTTCTACTTCCCTCTATGAAAACCAGCCTTCTCAGGGATTATCACCGCCAATAAGAGGGGAAAATTGCCTGCACAGTTGGTGATTGTGGTTAACTGGTCAGGGAGGCTTCACGTACTGGCTCTTGGAAAATTCATAGGCATACAAAGATGCCAAGTGACAGGAGGAGGCTGGGGCAACCTGTGACAAAGGAGAACACAGCCACTTCTTCTACAGCAAGTCTGTGTAGAGCACCTATTATGCTTGAAACGCCCTTTCAAAAAAGCACATTTCAGTCAAAAGAATAATGCTCTGACTTCTAAAAGCACCAAATGTTAATTTTCAAGGAACCATGCCTCTTTTCCTTTGATTAGATCAGAAAAAAATTGTACGTATCTGTAAAATTTAAGAATGTCTGACCAAATAAAAAAATCTATAATTATTTTTGGTTTTTAATATTTCCTCATTTTTGTTTATGTGACTAAATATTGATATAAAGGTTACAATCAGAATGGATATAATAATTTGTAATTCTTGGCTTAACAATATAGTTAGGATATTTTCTCTGCTTTTTTAATGTTGTCATTATTAATGAATGTGTAACAGCTTGTCTATTTGAGGTACCTGATATAGAAATTTATAAAACTTTTGGTTATTTCTAATTGTGGATACTAAAATCTAAAATATGGTCACTGTTCGTAATTGTTTACCATCATGGATAATAGTTAATGCAGTTTTTTTCTTCTACATAATTCTCAAGATAAAATTCTGGGATGGGAATTACTGAGGTATAAGGCATGAACCTTGTCTGTTGGATCCTCAAACAACTTCTCGCAGACTGTGCACAGCACAAGTCCAAGGGATACTATTCACAAAGCTCCTTTCACCCAAAACTGTATGTTGTGGACAGCACCCTCGGCTTGACCCGCCACGACCTGACCGTGCATAGCCACCCAGCAACCCATCTTGAAATATCAGCCTACTGTTAAGTTGCTTTTTCAAAGATTAGCCCAAAGAATTTCAAGGAAAAAAGAGAAAATCCCAGTCTCCTGCTTAAGTTATTGTTTAAGGAGTTAATTAGGGATACAAGGACAGAATATTTAATAGCAATAAATTAAAATAGGGCATTTCACTATAAAAACCAGGGGTAGTTAACAGTATAATACTTAAGATGCATTTCTTCAGGAAAATTAGGCACTTGTGAATTCAGTTAGAATTTTCAAATAATAAAAAAGTCAAGAAAAATTAAAAGAAATAAAAATAAAAGAAGAAACAAATTTAGACAAAGACACAGAAACAGTCGAAATGATAAATATCAGCCGGCCACAGTGACTCATACCTGTAATCCCAGCACTTTGGGAGGCCAAGGCAGTCAGATCACCTGAGGTCAGGAGTTCGAGACCAGCATGGCCAACGTGGCAAAACCCCATCTCTACTAAAAACACAAAAATAGCTGGGTGTAATGGCAGGCACCTGTGATCCCAGCTACTTGGGAGGCTGAGGCAGGAGAAACCCTTGAACCCAGGAGGCAGAGGTTGCAGTGAGCCAAGATCACACCACTGCACTCCAACCTGGGGGATAGACCAAGACTGTATCTCCAAAAATAAATAAATACAAAAAGATGAATGTCATGACAACATCCCTAAAAATCCTAACAAAGTAGACTGATTGTTGATAAATCTAATAAGCAAATACAGAAAAATATCAAATGAGCCATATAAACTGAGAAAGGGTAAAAAAAGAATATATTACTTTTAATGCCATTACTTTTAATGGCAAAATACTGCAATTTCTTTTGCACCAACCTAATAAAAATGATTATGAATACCATGTTAATAAATGATATTAAATTTGAAAATGGCAATGAATAATATGTCCAATTATAGACCCATAAATTCAAATATTCATGAAGGAAGTAAAGAGTCTAAGCAGACATATGACCAAAAATAAATGCATACAATGACAAAGATATTGGAGTTTACCAGTTTAGAAAAAACAGAATCTCATTCTTAAATCATTTCAGACATCCAATGAATAAATAAACCACTTGTTACATAGATAAATTGATGGCAAAAATAAGATCCGATGATAAAACTCTTCTTATAAGGCATATTTTACTGATTCCTAAAGTTGGAACAGATGCTATAAACATTTAAACCTGTAATAACCACAAACTGCTCATTTTATATTAATTATATTATAATATAATATGATTTCAACCATGTTAGGAAACCAGCACTGCATGTTACAAACAATGAAACTGGGAAGAAAAAAATGTCAGAATATTCAGAGTGGTTCACTCTGGATTTAAGTGAGTGATTTCATTTCTGCTTATTCTTTGAAGGTTTCCCTATTGCCTCTGAATTGGTGGGGGAAGGCGGGCTCTCAGAAGGTGAATTGTGTCCCCCACAAAAATTCATATGTTGAAGTTTTAACTCCCAGTACCTCAGAGTGTGACTATTTTTGGAGACAGAGTTTTTAAACAGGAAATTAAGGTAAAATGAGGTCATTAGTGTGAGCCCTAATCCAATATGACTGGTGTCCTTTTGAGAAAATGTGGGAAGGAGATGTGAAGAAACAGGGAGAAGACAGCCACGTACTAGCCAAGGAGAAAAGCCTGGAATAGATCCTCCTGAGAGGTGAAGGCAGCTGGACTTCTGGGTCGGGTGGGGACTTGAAGAATTTTTCTGTCTTACAAGAGGTTTGTAAAATGCACCAATCAGTGCTTTGTAAAAACGCACCAATCAGCGCTCTGTGGCTAGCTAGAGGTTTGTAAAATGCGCCAATCAGTACTCTGTAAAAATGCACCAATCAGTGCTCTGTGGCTAGCTAGAGGTTTGTAAAATTGACCAATCAGCACTCTGTAAAATGGGCCGATCAGCACCCTGTAAAATGGACCAATCAGCACTCTGTAAAATGGACCAATGAGCAGGACATGGACGGGGACAAATAAGGGAATAAAAACTGGCCACCCCAGCCGGCATCAGCAACCAGCTCGGGTGCCCTACCACAGTGGGGAAGCTTTGTTTTTTCACGTTTCAGGATAAATCTTGCTGCTGCTCACTCTTTGGGTCTGTGCCACCTTTAAGAGCTGTAACACTCACCATGAAGGTCTGTGGCTTCATTCTTGATGTCAGTGAGACCACGAACCCACCGGCAGGAACAAACTCTGGACGCACTTCCTTCACAGCTCTCAGAAGGAACCAAACTGGCTGACACACTTTGATCTTGAACTTTAAGCCTCCAGAACCATAAAAAAATACATATATATGTATACATTTATATAAAATATATATAAATTTTGGTGGTGGTGTTTAAGCCTCCCAGTTTGTAATACTTTTTTAAGGCAGTCTTCGTAAATGAACGCAGGGTCCTCCCTTTCTTCCTTCCTTCCTTCCTTCCTTCATTCCTTCCTTTCCTCCCTCCCTCCCTCCCCCGCTTCCCTGCCTCCCTCCCTTCCTTCCCTCCCTCTCCCCCTCCCCATCCTTCCCTTTGTCCCTTTCTCCCTTCCCTTCCCTCCTCTCCCCTCTCTCCATCCCTCCCTTCCTCCTTCCTTCCTTCCTTAGTAATTTCATTGGAGAACTTGAAAACAATTTAAAAAGCATGTATTACTTCTACATACAAATTTTCATTATGCTACTTGTCAATACCCGTGGGGGCAGTGATTTGAATTACTGGGAGCTATATTAGCAATGTTATACTCGGTATTTGGAACAAACAACCCCAGCTAAGGGAAAGCCACTGGACTAGGTAGCTATAAGTCAATTCTGTTTTAGTGGCTTTGAGCTTTTTTCATCAAGTAATAAAGATGAAAAGAATGGATGGGCATCTTTGTGCCAAGAATAGTGTCAGTGGGAATAGAAAAGGAAAGGTCATTACCTCTGCATATAAGTTCCATCTGATCAAAGCTGAATTACTCAGTGATGTCAGGTTTTTATAGCTGTTCTTTTATAGCTATAAAAATATCTCTACTGTTGATATTCCTGAAGGGAAAATAATGCAGTTATTGCCAGGCTGAAACCCTGAAGCACAAAGCATCTTTATCCCCGTTGAATCAATTGCCTTTATAATTCAAGTCTTGGTAACGCAAGTATTTTAAAAAAATACTATAATGGAAAGAAAATTTGGTTATGCATTGAAAGAGAGAACCCTACAAGGATCGAGTAGGCGATTCATACCCTGCAGCATTTCCAGTCCCATCAGGGGACCAAGGCAGGTGACTTTCATAGTAGATGTACTGATGTAAACTTCACTTCCACAAAGAAATATGCTCTCTGCCATCATCCCTTCAAGTCTACCTTTTTATTTTCCCATTTTTCATAAGGGCATAATTGCAGAGAACTATTTCTCTACTATAAAGAAAAATGCCACCGTGAGCAGCTGGCAAGTGGCACTGACCCTAATCTTCATTGAGTAGAGGGTGGCTGAGACTTCAGGGACCTGGCAAGCATGTGCTCCCTCCAAAGGGGCATAGCTACCCGGCCAAAGCTGACTCTGCAGAATATTCATCAATAGCTAATAAATGAAAGAACATTTTTGATGGCTATGTGAATTCTCCAAGTTTTATAAATGTTGGCTCAAAAATTTTTAAAGTACCTTATTTACCAAATCAATTACTCTTGCGAGTGGGATGCAACCACTGCTAGTGGAATAAACAAAGTTCTGCTCTAGAAGTCAGAAAAATGAAATCCTGGCTCTGTGTGTTACTGTTGTGTGGCCTGGGGCATTACTGGACTGCTTGGCTCTCAGTTTCAGCACTTGCAACATTTATGGGTTTTTTTGTTTTTCTTGTTTTTTGTTTTGTTTTTGTTTTTGTCTTTGTTTTTTGATAAATAAAGCTTCCAGCAGAGGGTCTTGTATATACCAGGTCTTTAATAAATGTTAGGTGATTAAAAATGCACCTACAAAAATCTATTATCATAAGATGATGTATCAATTAGACAATGCAGATAAAGCAATGGGCAAAATTCAGTACCCATTCTGAACAAAACTTATGTTAAATACAGAGACTCTTTCATGATAGGGTTACTACTTACACCCAAAGTAATTTAAACCTCATGAAAGATGCTTTCTTGAAATTGCATTTAATATTTTCCACTGTAACCTATATCTTATTCTTAGTTAACCTAGCTAAGATCTAAGACAGAAAAGGCTTGAGAAGATTTCCACTCCCCAGGCAGGCAATCAAAGCCTACATGATTTCCCTAAGATCCCACAGTGAGTCACGGGATGCAGGCAGCATTAGATGTCAGTATTAGTCCACAAGATAAGTGAGCAAAGATATTTCCAACACAACATTTTAAAATGTCTTCCTTGGGTGCTTGGTTACTTCAATTATTCCAGGATGATCTGGTGATATCTGGTGACTTTGTTTGGATTCCAAAATGCCATACTAAACTCAACAGGTGGACGTCCTTTATCTTTGGATTCAAGGAAGAAATGAAATACCCAAGAAGCAAAGGGGACTTGAGATGCGGAAGAGTTCAAGAAGGTAGCGGAGTAGTATTTGCCAGTTTTCAGTGTGTAAATACTCCTTCCACGGCCAGTTTCAGGCTACCACTGTGATGTCAACCAGCTTGCCAATTTTTTGAAAATTTAGTAATCAGCTCTTTCATGCCACTTGAAGTAGACTCCAGCACAACACCAGCTCTGCCTGTCTTCATTTCTGTGAATTACCACCTGAAAACATGGCTTTGATGATCACATACTTGGAATAATACTCTTGTTTTTGTTGTTGCTTTTTCAATTTATTTTTAATTGCCCCAAATTATTTTTTTCTGGTACCACTCATATGTAAAATGCAAGTAATTTGCTTTTTGGCTGTGGCATGGGTATAAATCCTGCCATATGAAAGAAGAGAACATCTTATGGCTATACCCTTTCAAGCATCTCTCCTCCAGCTCTTTCTGGCGTAATGCCTGATGGAAGGGAACAGCTCATAAGTAGAGACTGAGAAATATGGTAATATTTTGACTTATAAATGTTTCTGAACATTTCTCTCTGTCAGGATTGAACCAATCTTGTCCTAAGATTCTTCTAGCCAAGAAGCTGTTGTACTGCTTTAGGGTACAAAAGAAGCTCCAAACACCATGATGACTAAAATAAGGGAAGTAGAGGAGAGAGGGAAACCCCGGTGATCCTAACAATAAGAACAAAACCAATATATCATATTTTTGTGGCCTTTTAGATTACAAAGCACGTATACACACATTCTCGGAGTTCTGGATATTGCATTTTAAGAGGACATTGATAAATGGGAGAACATCCAGAGGAGACCATTGACAATAAAAAATACACTGCAGGATTGTTTACAATGGGCCATGGACTCTACCAGTGGTTTCACCTGTTCAATCTTATTTAATTCTTTCAACTCTCCTATGATCTTATAGAGGAGGAAAACAATAATCAGAGATTATGATTAGCAATTTGTCTTCTCTCATGTATTTGGTGAATGATGAAGCTGATATTTAAAACCAAGGAGTCTGATTCCAAAAGTTGTTCTCTTAATAGATAGTATTCAAACCATGTTTTGCCTGAAGTAGAGATTAACCACTGACATACTAAATGTTTCAAGTTCTCAAAAGCCCCTCATCTAGATTGAGGAATTACATCTATGAGTGTCCCCAGAAGAAGGCACTAAGACCAGAATGTAGAAAATGCTAAAAGCTGACATGGAGACAAAATAGGCTCATCTTTCTTTAGCAGAAGCCTGAAATGGAAGGAACCATCTTGGGCAATCATGATTTTCTCATCATTAACTGATGCCCAAAGACTGGATTATAGGTTTGGGGTACTTCTAGGAAGAATATGGACTAAGAAGTGTAGTTTCAATTAGATAACCTCCCTGTGCTGTCCAGTGCAGTAGCCACTATCCACGTGTGGCTATTTAAATTTAATTAATACTGAGCATAAATTAAAATTCAGCTCCTCAGTCATACTAGTCAAGCGTCATGTGCTCAATAGCCATCTATGACTAGTGACTATCGAGTTGGTGGACATGTTGGGTGTGCAGATGTATAGAACATTTCCAATATTGCAGAAAGTCCTACTGGATGGTGTGGTTCTGAACTATAAAATCTGCCTTTTAGAATTCTCTGTGATTTTGAGAAAAGCAGGATGAGTAATAATTCTGATTTCGTGAATGAGAAAATTGAGGATAGAAACTTTTTTCCTAGCCTAAGTGCTAACACTTCATGATCCTCGGATGCCTACACACACCTTGCTCCCCATCACCAAACACCTGTTTCCACCACTGCAGCTGCAGCTGCTGGGCTGTGGGTGTGCAGGCAGACTCCCTTAATTATTTCCAGTGCTTCGTTTTTGTGGCCATAGGAGAACCTGGTAATGTGCTGTTTGGTGTGTAGATAATTATCAGTTATTCGTGACTCCCCTTTCATTTGCCCACAGAGCATTTCCTGAGATCTTTGAAAGCAACTGGGCCACAACGCTTTGTGGGCAAAGAGAGGAATTATAGTAGCTGTGAGGAAAATAAATTGTGATGTCAGCTTGATTACAGTGTTGGTTACTGCTCAGTCAAAACTTTGTGATAAAGAGCCTTTCCACAGGAAATTCATTTACAGATACCATCTACCATCTAGCACAGCACCTCCTGCTGACCACCTCGGCAGCAAAGGGAGTGCTACAGGAGTACCCGTGGTCAGCTTGGTATTGACATTAGGGCGGATCCCTGTGGAAGGTGCAAGCCTTGCAGTACTTCCTCAATCCAATAGAATTGAAATTTATTCATCTCAACATTCAGGCAACTGATTTAAGAGGAAAAGCATTCAAGACCTGAGGTGCCTACTCAACAAATCCACACTAATCTATTATTGACTGGCTGACTTTCTAGTGGGTTCTGACCTTTATTTATAGTGTCTTAACAATACATAAATCAGAAATAGTCACCATGGGGTGGTGCATGCTTTAATTTTGGATAACATTCAAGAATAAACACTTGTGGAGCCTTCTCTGTGCCAAATAGTAAGCTAGGTATTTCTACAATACCTTATCCCACTTAATTTGCATATCATCAACACAAGATAGGTATTATCATCATCCTGATTTTATAAATGAGGAGACTGTGGTGTAATGAGCAGTAGATCTGGAAGTTAACCTCAAGTCTTCAGATTCGAACTCTAGTGCTTTTTCTACTAATACATAGCTACCGCTTAGAAGAAAGGCGGCATAAGATTTTGATTTGAATATCCTATTCCTGGACTCCCAGGATATCTCACTGTATCTCATCAATGCCTCACTAACTTATTGCCTCCCTTTGCCCCCAGATAATGTCAACAGTAACAATATTACTCAAATGCTACCAATATGTAAGTTGGTCATTCTTTCTTTTTGTTTGCATATAACACTTCCCCTACCTAAAAATGTGTCCTCCCTTCCCCCATAACTCTGTATTAATCCCTGACTTTCAAGATCATTTTAGTAATCTTATCACTTCAAGACAGCCATCTGGGGCCAGGCCGGGTGGCTCATGCCTGTAATCCCAGCACTTTGAGAGGCCGAGGTGGGCAGATCACTTGAGGTCAGGAATTTGAGACCAGCCTGGCTAACAGGTGAAACCCCATCTCTGCAAAAATACAAAAATTAGCTGGGTGTGGTGGCGCATGCCTGTAATCCCAGCTACTTGGGAGGCTGAGGCAGGAGAATGGCTTGAACCCAGGAGGTGGAGGTTGCAGTGAGCCGAGATTGTGCCACTGCACTGCAGCCTGGGCGACAGGGTGAGACTCCATCTCAAAAAAAAAAAAAAAAAAAAAAAAAGGAAGAAAGAAAAGAACAAGAACAAGGAAAAAAAATAAAAAAGAAAGCCACCTGGAGAATGCCAACAATCATGAGTTATGCAGGACCCCCGAATAGACCAACTTTTCCTTTAAAACTCATTTATAATGCTACTATATCATTAATTAGTTTTCATGGCACAGGTGTTTTAGTGTGTCCATCTTGCATACTTTTAATTGTGTATCTCTTTTGAGGAAGAAAGCTATCTTTCATTGCTGGTGCTCCTTTCCTTTAGTATGCCCACATTTTTTATCAACAGAACATCTAGTATTCAAATTTAGAAGCAGAGATCAAGTTGTCTAAATGGGTTGGTTCCTTTTTTGATTTGAACTCTAAGGCTTTTTTATCCTGCTGGTTTTTTTTTTTTAAGCCACCTGCCTAGTTTAGTCCTCTTACACAGTGATGAATTAGAATTCATACTGCTTGTTATATTAGATATTTCTTTCTTTAATACCCATAATGATTCTTGGCCACTAAGAGACACATCAAGTCAACAACTTGATGTATATATCATATCAACTACACTTTGTTCCTGTCATCTGAATTATTATCAGAGGCAAAGAGTAATTGGGGAAGCCCTGAAAGGCAATAATCACCACAAGCCATTATCATAGTTTACTGAATTTGATGAATAATATTATTTTGACCTCATATCACATTTGTCTTTCAAGGAGTTGTTGTACCTCATAGTAATTACTAAATACCTAGAATCTACTGTCACTCATTGTATGGAGACCATGGAGGCGTCAAGGAATGACTTGAACCTGGACATAATTAGTTCTGGACATAATTAATAGTAACACCTGAGATATCCAGAAGAGTAAGGGATAATCCACTTTGAATGAGAGGAACTTAAGAAGAAATTGAAGATTATCCTTCTAAGTCATGAGGACTTTTTTATTTTAATTCATTTCTAAAATAACCTTTCTATTTTCTGCCTAAGAAAATAGGGTGGCTTGTAAGAAAATTTAAAATTTATCCTTGTCTCCTGAGTGAGGGTAATTGTTAGGAACGTTAAGGAAGGCCCACACAGGTAAGATATGTATAGTTCCAAAGGGCCTGGGCTTTGGAGTCAAGCAGACCTGGATTTAAATCCTCGTTTTGTTATTTAGGATGCTTTGGGGTGCAAGTGATATAAAATCCCCAACTCAAATGTCTTACACAGCAAAGAAATTTTTATTTCACAGCAAGAGGTTGGGAGTAGCGTGGTTTCAGAGTCAGTCCATTTTTCACATCAGGAAGTCATCACAGACCCAGATTCTTTCTTGTTTCTTTGCCACCCTTAGTGCTTTGAATTTGTCCTCGGGCTATGGTTGGACAGTATAGCAATGGCGTGTATCATAGCCAGCTACAGCAACATCCAGTAAAAGGAGGGACCGTCTCTTCTTTGGGTCTCTTTTGGAGAGGGACACAACCTTTCCCAGAAACTTCAGAGCAGCCATCTGTTCATATCCCCTCGTTTAGAATTGGGTCACACGCATACCCCTGAGCCAATCACCGGCAGGGGGCCGGGGGCATCAGGATTGCTTTAGGGCAATTAGGATTCATCCGCTGGGACTGAGACGCATAGCCCCACAGAGGAGGGCGGGCAAGAAGGGACTGTAGGGAGAGGAAGGAAGGGACTGGTAAGCAAGGAAACATAGCTCACTAGCTGCGAGACTTTGGGCGCATTCATTAACATCTTTAAATCTTAATTTCTAAATCAGGAACATGGAAATAATACCTACACTATACCTCATAGAAGTGTGAGAATTAGATCAAGTGACCTTTTCGCAGTGCCTGACATGCGGGAAGGTTGATAGATCGTTTTGTTTCAGGGAACTCCAGACTTTGCTTCCCTGTTAATGCTGCTTCTGTCTGGTCTTTTGTGAAGAAACATACCGTTCCCAGTCGTGTGTGTGTGTGTGTGTATGTGTGTGTGTGTTTAGAATATATCCATGGTTCATATGGGAGAGAATTTCTTCTACTTAGCAAGCACCTTCAGAATCTGGAGGAACCTGCACTTATTTGAAGGCAATCAAAAAATTTTCTCTTTAGATGTCTGTGTAATTATGTATTTAATACTACATTTGAAATCAGAATTGGTTGATTGAGATAAATGGAGATAAGCAGAAGCAACATTCAACAAAGATTTCATGTTCAAGTCGTTGTGCAAATTACTGGGACAAAGGTGAGGCACAGCAAAAGCAAAAGAAATGTGGAAGAATGGTGAGTTTGTATAAAGAAATAGAATAGTGAGCAATAAGATAGAAAATGCCATGTGACAACACAATTGGCGAGCTTTGAGTGCTACGCCAGAAAGTCGGGACTTTATATTCTTAGCATGGGGCAGGGGACAGCAGGACCATGAAATATTTTCATTAGAGATTAAACATGAAGAAAACATTCTTATAGAACCTAACCTGGTAGTGGTATAAAAGAACAATTGGAAAGTGTGTAAAGTACTTCCATCAAGCCAGTTAGGAGAATTTAAGTCAGGTTAGTTACTCTGAAAAGACAAACAACCTTCAAACTCTCATGACATAAACAAGCAAATGTTTATTTCTCACCCATCTGATCTGTTTGTTTCCAGGAAGCAAGGAAATCTGTTCTTTATGTTCACACAGATATCCAGCCTGGTGGATAGTGCCACCACCGTAAATGGTGACGATTGCCATGACAAAGGGAAAGAAAGCTCTAAGGGGTATCACACCAGCAATTAAATGCCTTGGCATGAAGCAACACACAGTGGTGTGGTGGGGCCAGCTTATGCCAGCTCACAAAAGCCAATTGTGTGCGCCTCTTCCCAAATCCACAGCAAAATCTGTCGTGTTGATAGTTCTAAATCAGCCAGGCTAGGAATGTTTACACGACAGAAACTGGCAAGCAGTACAAATCATGGTTCCCTCTTCCTCCCACTCCTCCCCACCAAAAAAAGATACCTAGTAGTTAAACTTTTACCAACACGCCTCCAGATTCACTTCACTTTCACTCAGGACTCATTGGCCAGAACTAGGCATGTAGCTCAACCCTGATACAAGGGGATCAAGAAGTTCAATCCTGCTATTGCCTCAAAGGGAGAGAGCCACAAATATTTAGTGAACACTAATGACAACCACAGGTTAATGCCAGAGCCCAGGTGTTTATTCATTTATAAATTCATTCAACAATAACATCTACAACACGTTAGACTTTAACCTGGGAGCAGTAAAAAGGAGAAGCAGAAGAGTTTTAAGCATGGATGGGATGCCAGTTATCAACTTCTTGCCTCTCAACTCCTAATCTACCCTCCACTGGCCGGCTTGAGATACTGGAGATGGATCCTGTAAACATTTTCTTTTGCTAGTAGAGGCTGCAGGACGGACACTGAAGAAGGAAAGGGCTTGTTCCTGGTTGCAGTGAGATTTCTCTGTTTCTTGATCCTATAGTACTCCTCTGGTATGAGAGATGCTAGTATCAGTGGCGCTCATGTCCAGAAAGTTTCAGAGGCAACCTGAAGGGTAACTTCTTAGCAAGTTCCATGGATGCCTCAGTCAGTTTCCCAGCATGTACAGCAGCAGCACCCCCCCACCGCCTTCCAGGTGGCTTCCTGGTGGCTCTTCAGTGAGTCCTACTGATGCTGCAGTTTCTCAATGTGTTCAAAAGCATGCCCCATGGGCAGCTTCCCCACAAGTTTTTCTAGCACGTGAATATAGATGGTTTCCTGTCTGCCAGTCTCAACCTGGCAGTATCAGAACAGGAGACTTCCAGCTTGCCAGCCTCACCCCATAGCTCTCTGCCTGCTAACCTCCACCTCCCAACTGTGGAATAGCTCTGGTTAAAGCTACTTTATGACCACGAGGGATGTGGCACACGAGAGAATAAATCACCACCATGGAGATGAATGGAGAGCAGATAAACGATGGCTTCATAGGTTCGCTGGAAGGTGAAGGAAATGTCTAGAGAAATTGAAAGTGAGGTGACATCATTGGCAATGGAGTAACAGCCAGGATTCAACAGGATCAGGATGAGGGTGAGCCCACCAAGACCAAGTCATGCTACTGCAGGTCGGATCCTGTCTTTATTTAAAATGTAGATATTTTGCTCATTTTGATGTATTTTACATTAATTTTCATTTTTTAAAACATAGTACATTAAAATAGTATTTATCTTGATTACCGAATTTTTTTTTTTGGCACCTACTTAAATTGTGCATGCTTCCCTCACCCTTGTCCTGGCTCTGGCAGCAGTTTCAGAGGGTCTGAGAGAGTTTGGGAAACAAGGGGAGTGGGAGGCAGGCAGAGTGGGCTGCCAGATCCCAGGCTAGAAAATGCAGAACACGGTGAAGACAGCAAGAACCTTAACTAATAGGTCTGAGGCTAAGTAGTGATGGCAGTCAGAATGCTTTTAAATAAAGATGTTAAGGACATAGCAAGAGAAAATGGATAGAACAGAGTGCATATGGAGACTTTTTATATTGGTGATAGAACTAGTAAGCAGGTAATTAAAGATGATCCTCTTCATGAGGAAGACATGATAATATATGCAGTAGGAAAACAAAAGACTTAAAAGGAATGACAAGGACTAACTAATAGGACCTGGCAATTATTTTGGTGAAGATGTGCAGTGGTAGAGGGCAAATGACAGGGAGGGTCCAGAAATGACTGCATGGATGAACCTGGAGGACGTTATGCTAATTGAAATAAGCCAGACTGATAAAGACAAACATTGCATGATCTCACTTATATGTGGAACCTAAAAAAGTCAAACTCATAGAAGCAGAGAGTAGAATGGTGGTTACTAGATGCTTGGGGGAGGGGGAAACGGAGAGGTAATGGTTAAAGGGTACAAAATTTTAGTTGTGTGAGGTAAATTCTGGAGATCTACTATATATACAGCATAGCATCTATAGCTGGCAATTCTATACTACATACTTAAGATTGATAAGAGGTTAGATCTTATGCTAAATGTTCTTACTAAAAAACAAGAACAACAACAATAATAATAAAGGGAGTGGGAGAAAACTTTGGGAAGTGATGGATGTATTTACAGCCATGTTGGTAGCATAGTCATCCCAAACTCATTGAGATGTATATATTAAATATGTGCAGCTTTTTGTATGTCAATCGTATTTCAATATGGGGGTTTAAATAAATAAATAAATGGATTTTTAAATAACAAATTTAAAAATGACTTCAATTATGGACTAGGACATTAGGAGACTGGTTGTCCCTTTAATAGAAATAAGGGTGTTAGTAAGAGAGGATCTGTCATGCTGAGTTTGGGGGAAGTGGCCATATCAAGATGGCTTTTCAGTCTGGGCTTGGTTCTTGTCGGGGTTGAGGCTGGAGATGTGGGTGGTATCCAGGTGGTGCTAGTGATGGCAGAGGTCTCTGAGGGCCTGTCTGTGAGATGGCAGAGGTCTCTGAGGGCCAGTCTCTGAGATGGCAGAGGTCTCTGAGGGTGAGTCTGTGAGATGGCAGAGGTCTTTGCAGACCAATGCAGAGCAGGTGAGGGAATGCTCAGTGGGAAACAATCACTTTTGAAGACCCGTACTCGGCTCCCCACCCTCCCAAGAGTTGATCCAGGCTCCATAAACACCAATCTGGCCTCAAAAGACACCCCGATTCCTCCTTGGACCTGGACCCAGTATAATAACTCCCCTTTCCTTCATAGTTTGATCAGAAGAATTTAGTTTCCCAAAAGCAACTTTTACTGGAGAAAACTAATAACAATCACAAAAATTCCAAAAGCCTAACAATAAGTTGTTTTCAGACTATGCTCTGCTCATTGAAACTGAAATGTAACTAGACTGTATAGAAATCAGGTCACCTGCAGTCCTGCCCCACCGAGCTCAGATTCCTCTTCCTTGACATATGCACACCTATTTCTCTAGCCTGCTTGTTTCATCTTAATCTTGTTCATTAACAGATTGGTAAGGCTGTTTATACCAGTTGGAGAAGTGATGGTTCCTCACCAATTGTTCTAAAATAGCATTTAAGGTCTCCGTGGGGGCACACACAGAGATATACCATGAGAAGAAAATTAATGATGCCCCAACCAATGCACAAAAAACCTTGGTTGAAATATTTCAGAAATCTACAAAAGAAAATATTTTTCCCTAGCATATATTTTTGTGTGTTTTCCATAATGAGGGTGTATTACATTTTCCATAGGTAAAAAATGAATTGCACTTAAAAGTAATTAGAAAACCACAGTGCTTAGAGATTTATCTAATACAAAACAGAATAGTCAAGTTATCATGTTTAGAAAATAGCATTTTTGCTTCTGCAGAGGAGTTGGGCATTTTCTATAGGTAGTCCAGGGTACATTTGAGAGAAGTCTATTATTTCTTGTATTATTTGGTACATACACCATTAGAGAGACTTGAAGAAGGCTTTTACTGATTAAATATTTACCAGTAAATGCTTGACAGCAACCTAACCACCTCTTAAGCATTCAAATAAGTGGTGAAAGTGTCCCAGAGGAAAGAAACACAGGGAAATTATATAAGACAGAATTTCTAGCAACTCCTTTAATGCATGCTTTATGACCTCTGGAAAGCTAAGAGAATATCTGGTTTGTAATATATTTCACACCTTTATCTTTCAAAGGCTCTACTTAGAAAATCCTCCACATTCATTGGTATTGCATAACTAATTTCGTAGTTTTGGAAAACCAAAGAGTTGCCTCAAATGAAGAAAAAAAGCCAGAAATTCCAAGATGACCTGACAAGGAAGCTCTTGGCATGCCTTGATCTTTTTTCCACCCATCCAACATGCATGCATTCAGATGCATATACTCTGGTAAGCAACATACTTACTGCCATGGAGGCTGTGAAAATGACTGAGTCACCCTGAAAGTGACTTGCATTTTAGTAGGAAAGATAAGATAGGCACACAAAGAACTAGAGCAACACCAGGGAGCCTGTGACAGGTGGCCCAGATCTTCAAAGATGGTGCTGTGAGTAGGGAATAATCATGTTTTACTGGGAAAGCCAGAAAAAGTTTCGATTCAGAATTAGTTGAAGCATCTGAATTTGGGGAAAGTATTTCCTTCAGCAGCCTTGTATGGCAGGCAGGGAGGGACATCCAGGCAGGAGAAAGAAGATAAACAAGAATCAAATTCAGGTTTTGGAAGGACCTGGAGCTTATATAATTATCACAGCATTCTTTGAGAAAAGTAATATCAGAGTATTTTTTAAATTGATAGGGCCCTTCCACATCCATGAGTGACCCTAAAGCTTAAGTTTCCTGAGCCTCATGGGTCCTCCACTCTTGAGACCAAGCTGCAGAATCAAGCAGACTGAGTCCAAGTTGGTTTCTGTCACTTGCTATGAGCATTCATTTCTTCAAATAATATCTACTTCAAATAATACCTACTTATAAAGTTAAATATAGCAACCTGATATTTCTGCTAAGGAACTATTCCTCCCTTACTCTCAGACAAATTGCCTGAGCCCAACTCTAACTTCATGGGTGGGTTATACGGCTTGGCTCGTGAAATAAGTGTAATCCACTGGGCATGTGACCCGAACCAGGCCCAACTGAATCGATCCCCCAAGATATTGCTGTAGCCAACAATACTTCCTTTTCCACTGGGGTGCTAAAGGAGTCGAATGTAAGCCTAGAGCAGCTGGTGGAATTCGAAGCCAACAGAGAGAACTGCAGAGTCTAAGGACAGAGATAGTAGTTTAATGGCACTTCTGAGCTGTGCTTGCACCAGTTCAAGAGGGTTTCTGCTGTTTCCTGTCACTAGGGCCCTAATACACTACAATGATGGCAATCCTATAACGTTGGATTACCCAGCAAATATCTAACCATTTGTTGATCACCTGCTATGTGCAAGGCAGGGCCTCCTGTGCTGGTCTCTGCTAGGAACACAGAGTTGAGGTCCTGCTTTCATAGAACATTTGGGTGCTACTTGACCACATGGAATGACTGGCTTTAACTCTGTCCAGCCAACTTTCCCCTGTTTTATCACAGCACTCTTTGAGAAAAGCAATAGCAAAGTGTTTTTAAAATTGATAGGTCCCTTCCACATACATGAGTGGCCCTAAAGCTACTCACATATATGTCAGCTATCCCCTTCACATACATGACAGTTATGCCTGAAAGACAAACTGATCCACATTTTGCTGAAAAAACTGACTTTATTGATAACATTGGTCAAACAGCAGATGTGATTGGTGCTTTCATATGTAAATTTAGGATTGTGTAGATTATCTTTTGTGACTTATGAACAATTTCCAGCCATAACTCTACCTCTAACTTTCATCAATTGCTGGAATTTAAGTGAGCAAGTGACACGATTTTTGGCATAGCTTTAAGTACACCATAATTTATTTATCTGAAGTCAGTTGTTGGCAAACTTTTATGCTATAGCTATGATTTGTAACATATTCCTTGTGGCAAAAACTAGCAACTGATCAATCTCGCCAATGTTCTTGAGCACCAGCACTGAGAACCATCAATGTGTAGATGACACCAAATTCCAGATCATACTGTGTATCTGATTCCTGCCCCAGAGAGGGAGCTGAACACGGGACCTTTTGTCCAGCACAGTACCCTTATCACCTAGCAGAGTGTTTGACACAGAAAGCTCAGTGAAGGTTTATTGAACTTAACTGAACTCCACCTCCTATAACAGTTGTAACTGCACTCTCTGCTTTATCAAAGCAAACAGCATAGCAGTTCTAAGCTAAATCCTTCCTGTTATTTCTTCTGCTCAGAAAACTCATGTGGAGCAAATCATATCCTTACCACTGTCAAAAAATACTTACAGCTCACAGCCAAGATGGTACATTTTTGGCCTAGTAGTTCTGAAACTTAACTGCACACTGGAATCACCCGAAGAGCTTTTACAAATCCTAATGCCCAAGTTGCATCCTGGACCAATTGACTGAGAATTGCTGCATGAGACCCTGGTGTCAGTATGTTGTTAAAGCCTCCCAGGTGATTCAGATGATTCCAATATGCTGCCAAGGTTGAGAACAAGTATAGTAGAGCAACACTTATACAGTTTCAGCACTATTTCTGTAATTATCTCACCTTATTATTTGTCATCTATGTTGTCTTAGTCCAGACCAGCCCTGAAATATAATGGTTTTATAATGCCAGTAACAAAATATTAGCTATCTGATACCATCTTCATTGTGGAATGGTTAAAATCTCAGCTGCCTCTCTTAAGATCCAAGAGGGAAGAATAATAGGCAACTTCTGGGGTTTCTTCCCTTCCCAACTTTCTTCTTTGAGAACTCTCTGAACTTTACCCACTCATGGAAATGGGCTACTGAAGCCATGCCTATACTCTATGGCCTGCTCCCCATACTCCTACAACCAACATACCCTGTCATCTTACCATTGCTTAGAGGATCTTAAACCTGAGGATGCATTGGAGTCATCTGGAGGGCTTCTGATAACAGATTCCTTGGTTCCACCTCCAGAGTCTCTGTTTCAATAAGACTAAAATAGGGCTGAGAATTTGCATTTCTGGCAATTTGCAGGAGTTGCTGGTGCTGCTGTTCTGGAAACCACCCTTGAAGAAATATTGCCATTGCCTATATAGACCTAACCCAGACTGGGTTGATGACATTGTCTTATTCCCGACTCAGATGAAAACTCTGCAGATTGGTACAGTCATTTCCCAGGGCTATCATAACAAAGGACTACAAACTGAGTGGTTTAAAACAGAGATTTATCCTATCACACTTGCAAAAGCCAGAAATTCAAAATCAGTATGTCAGCAAGGTCTTGCTCTCTCTGGAAGCTGAAGGAGAAGTTCGTTTCTTGCCTCTTTTAGCTTCTGGCTTTTGCTGGCAATCCTTAGCGTTCCCTGGCTTGTAAGAGCATCACTCCCTCTCCACCTCTATCACCACATGGCCTGGAGGTCAGAGTCTCTTCTCTTACAATGGATGAAGGGTGCACCCTATTTCAGCATGACCTCATCTTACATAATTACATCTGCGACAAACTTATTTCTAAAAAAGGTCACATCTGAGACATTTGGGGTTAGGGCTTCAACATATATTTTTGGGTTGACACAATTCAACCCATAAAAACAGGTATATCAAAAATTTCTGGGGCTCCTAAATTCCATCATATGCCCACAGGAGTGGAGGATCCTGTCTGCAGAAAGAGAAGGTTGTTCCACAAGTGCAGAGAGGAAGCAGAGAGCTGGAGCTTGTCATGCTGGAGAAGGACAATGGACAGAGCAACTTTCTTGATTCCAAATGTGTTCCTGCCCCTGCTCACAAGACCTGCTGCAGTTCACACCCTCAGTTTCCATGAGCTATACAGCATTCCTTTGATTCGAAAAGTCTCCCTTTTTGAGTTAATCCATTCTTATTGAGCTTCTATTACTTGCAATCAAAAGAGTAGATCTAAGAGAAGGTATGTCTCCCCTGTACTCTAACAGGCCATGACTGACTTCTTCCACTCCTGGCATTTGCTATTTCTCCTGTTATTGCAGATGCTTGACTTGCTATTTCTGTTCTTGTTGCATTTTCCTGAAATGGAGAAATAGCCTTCCTTTGGCCATTATAGACTCCGGGGAGTCTACAGAGTGCTTGGCATCTCGCTCTGGCATCTTTTGAAAGATGTTTAATGACATTTTTCTTGCCTTCAACTGGCTTTTTGAAATTCCAGCCTCTTTCCATGGTGTAGCCTCCCTGGAGCAGGGTGGCTGGGACATGAGAGAACACACTGGGCTGCTTTGTAAGTGTTCTCTCTGTTATGTCTACCATACAGTGCTTGGAGACTATGTGGACTCAACTTTCTCTCCACTCAAACACCTTCAGTATTCAAGATCCTTCCTGGAGGGTGAAGGAGTCGCATTGTCTCTGACTTTGGGAGACTCTTAGTTCTGGCTGTTGGAAAGGACTTGTGCTGGGTATTTTGTACTTGCCTCTCAGGTCTACTGTCTACACTTCTTCGTGCTGCACTGGGCTTTAGGAGGCCGATCCACATGGACTGCATGCATGGGCTCCCTTCCCCTCTGGCTCCTGAGTAGGCCTGACCAAGAGGGCACACTGACAGGAGATTGGATGAAGGGAGGGAGGAGAGAGAGACTAGGGTGTTCACTTCCCCTGCTCACTTCCTAGGGTTGTCATTGGCTGACTGCTTCCCTCAGGTGAAGGTGACAGCTCTGAGAGGCGGCCCTTTCCATGGAGTCCTCTCTGTCACAGTAACTGCTCTCCCCCTTACCTTTCCAAGTCTAGGGATGGTAACAAGACCCAACCATCACCCTAGATATCACATCATCCTTTAAAATCTCCCTATCCCCTGCCCACATCTGTAAACTCTTTTAAGCTTACACCATTTGAATGTGTTTCTCTTTCCTGATGGGACCCCAACCCATACAGAGCCTTGACCTTAACGTGACCAGTCTGCCCCATTAAAGGCTCTGGAAGCCCGGGGAGCCTACTGATTCTTGCTTTACCCATTCTCAGGGAATGCCATGCTTGACTAAATTTTTTGGTTTAGACACAGACACCGAGACTCTTGTTATCAGCTTTCTGTTACTTTCTCCTTTTGCATAGTCCAGTGATTTTCAACCTTGAATATAAACCAGAACCACCATAGTTTCTTCCTGTTAATTTGAGCCTATCCTGTCTTTTTTATTATGGTATAATTATTCCAAGTCAGAAGCAATCCCTTTTCTTTTGATTCATACCTTCCTACAACGCCTACTACAGGGTCATGCACACAGTAGATTTAACAAAACATATAAACTTAGTGATTGTGTACTCTAGATGAAGTTCAAAGGAAGATTAAAATTCTTTTTTGACACACTATTAATAATTGTTTCTTATACACTAGTATATACTAAGATGTTTTAGAGAAAAGAAGATAGCTACAATTGTTGTTGATGAAATCAGTTTTCAAAATGTCATTCACTGTATTTGTCCAAAGATTTCATGAAAATGAAAATTTTATCTCTGAGTGTCCACTTGAAAATCAGCTGATGTGTGTACAGACAGATGATATTCATGTGAATAAAACTAAACATATGTGTTATCTCTCAAATTTTCTTCTTAGAATTTCAAAAAATTGCTCAAGTTTGTGAATACAAAGTGAAAGAAACAACCAATAAATCAGAGTAAGAATATTTATGGCCAAGTCTCCATTTCATAAACTCTCTATTAAAATTCAATTTCTATAGCCTACACCTTCATCATTTCTTACCTGGATTGCTGCAGCAGTCTCTTACCTGGCCAACTCATTTTCTCTTTTCATATATATTTTTTTCCATTCTTCACCTAGCAGCCAGAATGGCCTTTTAAAAATGCATGCCATAACCTCTATTTCTGTCAGTGATTTAGTGACTTGTGCTGGATTAGCTCTCTACCATAAACAACTAGAATATTGAACAAAATAATAAAAATAACTCTTTCCAGATGTTAAATAATAGACAACACAGGACTCTGATCTTTGAGGGAAAAAAAAATGTGAAGCAATCCCCTTTATCACCTTGAATTTTTGCCTAGAGGTATTTTCCATACTAAGACTTTGAGAAGAGGAGCCCCAAATACAATGCAGTAATCTCATTGACTCAGGAGACAGAGATCAGAATTTGGGGCTACTGAGACAGCAAGAATTTGTAGGGCAGGGTATCAAAGAGAAAGGAGCTGTGCAGAGAAAAAGCTCCAAAAACTATCTGGCAATGCCCCTAAGTCTTTAGCCAAATAATAAACTGTGCATATACAGTGCAAGACTCCATGAGACAAGGCAAGGAACTAAGAAGAAAATATAACTAATGGAAAACAGTGACCCTAGCCACTACTGGAGCTTTCACAGGAATGGTAGACATTTAAGTTCCAAAGAGCTAGGGTGAATAAATGTTTTGAAAACCTCCAGCATTCAGTAGAAGTCTCAGCAAAGCCAGGCTTTAGGAGTAGGGCTAATTTATCCTAAGCTAAAGGCTATGCTAGTGCTCAACTCACCTTAACAATGTTTAAAAACAAGCCTTGAAGAAGCTACTCTCTAAGTAAATTATCTGCCTATGAGACAAGACACAGACTATTACTAAGACAACAGAATGCAGATACTCATCAATGTAGCATTCATAATGTCTGGCATAAAACAGAAAATTACTAGACTTGCGAAGAAGAAGGCATGTGTGATTTATAATCAAGAGAAAAATCAGTTAACAGAAACAGACCCAAATGACAGACAATGGAACTAGCAAACAAGGACTTTAAAATAGGTATCTTAAACATGTTCAGGAATTTGAAAGAAAATATGGATGTAATAAGGGAAGGAACAAATAGAGAATCTCAGTAGAGAAAAGGAAACTATAAAACAGGACAAAATAAAAGTTTTGACCAGAAAAAGACAATACCTGCAATGAAAACAGTGAGATTACAGAAGAAAAGACCAGTCAGTGAATTTGCAGATATAACAGAAACTGTCTGAACAGAAGCACATATAGGAAAAAAAAGGCTTAAACACTGAGCAGAGACTTGGTAACCTATGGGACAATATCAAGTCCTTAACATACACATACTCAGGAGGAGAAAAGATAGATATTGGGGGGAAATATAAGAAGATAAAATGGTTGAAAGTTTTTCACATTTGATTTAAAAAATAATAAATCGGCTGGGCGCAGTGGCTCACGCCTGTAATCCCAGCACTTTGGGAGGCTGAGGTGGGTGGATCATGAGGTCAGCAGATCAAGACCATCCTGGTTAACACGATGAAACCCCGTCTCTACTAAAAATACAAAAAATCAGCCGGGCGTGGTGGCAGGCGCCTGTAGTCCCAGCTACTCGGGAGGCTGAGCCAGGAGAATGGTGTGAACCTGGGAGGCAGAGCTTGCAGTGAGCTGAGATTGCACCACTGCACTCCAGCCTGGGTGACAGAGCGAGACTCCATCTCAAAAAAAATAATAATAGTAATAATAAATCCACAGATGCAAGAAGCTCAATAATCTCCAAACAGGATAACTGTAATGAAAGTTATACCAAGGTACCTCGTGATCAAATGGCTAAAACTAGTGATAGAGAATATTAAACACAGCCAGAAAAAACCTGATACATTACCTAGAGGAGAACAAGGGTAGGAAAACTATAGATTTTCATTAGAAATTATACAAACCAGAAAATAATGGAACACTATCTTTAAAGTGCTGAGGAAAACAGTCAATGTCGAATTCTGTATTTAGCAAAAAATATCCTTTAAAAATAAAGGTAAAATACAGACATTTGCAAACCAAAAAGAGAGAGAGAGAGTATTTATCACCAGCAGAATGGCACTAAAATAAATGTTAGAGGAAGTTTTATAGGCTGAAAGATGATGATACTGGAAGGAAACTTGGATCTAAAAGTAATAAGGAGCACAAAAATAATAACTATGTATTTAAATAGAAAATACTTTTCATTTAATTTATTTAAAATTTAATTTTATTTCTTAACTGCATAAAATGTTTAAAACAAAATAAACAGTAGGTTTTGTAACATAAATAAAAGTAAAATGCATGACAATAATGATAAAAGATAGGGAAGAATGAAAGCATACTGTTTCTTATGTTGTGTGTGAGTAAAATATTATTATTTGAAGGTAGTTGTGATCACTGTTCTATAGCCTGCTCCTCATTCTGAGTATAAGTCAGGGAATTACCTAAGTAATAAAAATATAAGGTGAAATGTGACAAGTGCCATGACAGAAATGGAAGGGAAATCCTAGGATGGTTCAAAGAGAAAGCTCTTATCTTGTTTAGGGAATCGGGAAGGGGCTAACAGGAAAAGGATGGCATTGGGTGGTATTCCAGGCCCCAAAAAGAGTATTAATTTACTTATTTAACAAGTATCTATTACATTTCTACCTTGATCCAATCACTGGGCCGTTCTCTTTTAAATAACAAAGTGGTCCTTCTTTTTGATGAAAGTGTTCACAGCTTGGTAGGATGCTCTTATGTGAAAAACAAAAACAAGCAAAAACAGTGCAGTAGTCAGATCCTAGCAGCAGCTGCAGCAGCTCTCCTCTTCCCTGGCTCTTCTTACCATCCCCTTTTCACTTCCAAAAACAAGGCTTCCAGGGTGGTTGCCTCTGACAGCATCACAAGGTGATTAATGACATGAAGGGGTGCAAGTCTTTGATGCCAGAGGAGGTGAAGAAGCGCAAGAGAAGGTGCTCTTCTGCTTGAGGGAAGACAGGAAGAACATCATCCTGGAGGGGGCAAGATCTTGGTGGGTGATGTGGGCCAGACTGTCGATGACTCCATGCCACCTTTTCAAGATGGAACCAGACAAGGACTGTCACTATGTCCTCTATGATGCAGCTCTGGAGACCAAGGAGAGCACAAAGAGGGACCTGGTTTTTATCTTCTGGGCCCCTGAGTCTGCTAAACAGCTCCTGTACCCACTAGAGTTTCCTCCTCCCTTCATCTCTGACAGTTCTGGCCTTCTCAAACCACTTTTGGTCTTGATTCCTCTTGGGTTGAAGCTGATCAATTTCCCCCAGTCATCCCAGTTTGAGGAGGGGGCTGTGCTTTTTTAACAACATCCCCACTCCCCACCTGTTTCCCCCTTCCCATGCTGCCAACTTCTAAGCACAATAGTGACTCTGTGCTTCTCTGTTTGGTTCTGCATATAAATAGAATGTTGTGAGATGACTCCTTCCCATGCTGGCTGATTCCTCTCCCTATTCCCCTGGTCACAGCCACTCATGTAAGCAGGACCAGCCAGGGACCTTCAATTAAAAAAAAAGAAGCAGTGCATGTTCAAGGAAAAATTCGTGTAAACTACAAAGAGGAAAGTTGAAGAAACTATTGGAAGAGGTAGCTGGGACCATGCTGTGATTGCTCTTGAATGTTAGTCTACATAATCTTGCAGCACAATGTTATATAGTAGAACCTCATTTATGTGAAATAATAAAACATTATTAGCCAATCTTATTGAATACTTCCTATGTGTTGAGGAATATACTAGGCTCTTTCCATGTATTATCTCAATTAAGCCTTACAACAGTTCTACTTATAAAATAGATAAAACAATTATTAGATGCGGAAATGAAGGCTTAAAGAGTAAAGTTGGTAGATATTAAGATATTTGCATTCATGGATTCCTGCTTGGTTGTGGAGTATTACCCTTTATATATATTAATGGGTTCAATTTGTTTTTTTCACTTAGTATTTTCACCTACGTTCATTAGAGATATTGGCAATAATTTTCCTGTCTTATAGTGCCCTTATTAGGCTTGATATCAAAGTTATGCAGGTTTCATAAACTATGTTATGAATTCCTCCCTCTTTTTCTACTCTCTGGAAGAGTTTGTGTCACATTAGGGATCTTTATTCCTTAAATAGTTGGAAGAATTTATCTATGCATTTCGCCTTTTTTTCTTGGATTTTGACCTCTGAAGTTCTGACTGTGTTGGCTACTTTGTGATGTTTTCACACAGTGGTTTTTTGTATTTTAATCAGCTTTTATAATTATTCTCAGAAAGGTGATTGGTCTGATACAACTGAGTCATCACAAGGTCATATTTTCAGGGCTGCATGTAAATGACACATAGATGATTAACACTGAATATTTGGAAACATAGGCATGTTGGTATTAAATCATGAAAAGCCTCAGATTCCAGAGAATACTAAGCACCCCCTGACAGTTTTTGAGTAAAGACACAATATGATCAGGGACAGAATTAGGAAAGTAGACGTGGCAATGATGTATGCAATGAAAGGCAGAAGATACAAGTAAGTGTCCTGCAAAAATTCAGGGAAAAGCAAAGTAGAGTCTGCTTAGGAGAGTATCAATTAGAATATAAAAGAGTTCCTTTAAACCAGTGGTTCTCAAAGTGGGTCCCTGGAATAGCAGCAGAAGCATCACCAGGGAATTTGCTAGAAATGCAGATTCTCAGCCCTGCCCCAGACCCAACAAATTGGAATGTCTGGGGAGAGACCCAACAACCTGTGTTCTAACAAATCTTCCAGCTGATTCCCATGCTCATCCAGGTTTGCAGCCCACTACTTTAAACCAAAGTTTAGCCTCCTTCACAGCTATCAATGACCGCGAGGCCCCAGTTCTGGCCAATGAGACATATGGAGAAGTCTGCTTGGGGTACCTGTAGGAAAATGTTGGCTTTCCTGATCAAAAGGACAGATGATGCCGGGGCTGCCCATTTTCCTTCTTCCTCCCATGAATGCTGATTGACGTAGTGACTAAGAGGCAAAAAGCATAAGAACTGAGAAACCCAACAGGTTAAAGATGGCAGGGCAGAGATCTACAAGAGTCAGGGTTCTTGATAACATTTCTCTGCCCCACACCAGGCTGTACAGTTACAGTGACATAACTAAATGAATTTATCATTCAAATCACTGGCAACTCTGTATTCCGCTACTTGTAGTTAAAGGAATTCCTAGTTGACGTCTGTGTCAGTTTATACTTGGCACCTAGTAGGAGATCATAAGTGATAATTCCACATAGTGAAGACAGAAAAGAAATGTGTGGCCTGTTGATGGCCCAAATTTAACCCATTTCAGGAGAAGAGATTTCTGCTAAGTTTTTTATCCCCATTGAGATCACAGCTTGAAGGAACATTTTATCTCTTAATAGCTTGAGCAGAAAAAGCTGTTTTGAATGAAGACATTTTTTCACTGGGTGAAGTCACTTCTGCATGTGAACCCAAAAGGCAAGGGGCCACAGTGTCACCTCCCTGGCATTACCATTTGCCTTATCTTCATCCAGAAAGGGTGAGCTCCACTGGGGGAAAAATTCTCACCAGAGATGAGTCTTGTTACTCTCCCATTCCTATTGTGAGGATACATCACTGAATACTACCTCTTGCTTCCACAGGACTTTGTGGAACAGGAGAACGGTGACTTGGGGTACCTGGCAGCTCCCTTGCAATGCAGCCTTACCCTCAATTACCAAACACTCCCTCTCCAAGTGGGCTCCAGGTGGCAGCAGGGACCTCTCCAAGTCTGACATGTGTGGGTGGCATTTATTGCTTGTGCATGACAGTGCCCTGTTCTAAAGGAACTGACTCCAGTACACACGAAGACTCTAATGGGAAAGAGCAGCTGAGCAGCTTATAAGGAAGTTGCTTGAAGTGTCACCTAAATCCACCTTCTGGCTTCTAATTTCTGCTCTGAGCTGCAGGTGCCATTTTGGGTCCCATGCAGGATATTCTGTGAATGGTACAAATTCCAAATCACCTCCGCAGGGAGCTTTTTGGCAGTAACCACCCTGTGGAAAATGATAAACCCTCCTCCAAACTCCAGCATGCACATTCTCCAGTCTTTGCTTTATTTTTCAGCAGACTACTTATCACCATCTGGCATGCTACTTGCTTTACTTGAATTCAAGTTTTTATTGTTGTTCTTTCCCCACTAGAGTGTAAGATTTACAACAGCAGTAATTTTTGCCTGTTGTTCATTTCTACATCCCCAATATTTGAGAAAGTACCTAGCATGTAGTAGATGCTCAATAAATGCTCAAGAAAGGATGACTCTAAACTAATTGGCTGACAGGTTTTAACAATGGCATACCCTGTTCCTGGCCTTTGCCATTGTTTCTCCAAGATATTGTTTGTTTTGGTATATTGTTTCCCCAAAGCTCTAGATTCTGGTTAATTTACTCCATATTGACAGAGACAAGTTATGTAATACTACCGATGATAATAACTATTATTCCTTTAGACAAATGCTAGGTGCTTTAGATGCATTATCTTATTTAATTCTCAGAACAACACTAGTAGCTTTAGCCTCATTTTACCAATGAGGACAAGGAAGCTCAGAGATCTCAGCTGACTCATCCAAACTCCCTTAGTTCATCAGTGGCAGAGCTGGGGCTTGAACTTGAGACGATCTGACTCAGAAGCTTGGGCTTTATTCACCTCCTCATTGGAGAATAACTACAGCACTTACTGATACATCTATGTTTTCCTGATTTCTCCCCCTCTCTTGCTAAAAAACATGCATCTTTATGCAAGCCTAGGAATCAAATGACTGATCAGAGAGATGCTTTAATCAGACCTCTCTCCTGCCTGAATCACTATTCGTCAATCTTGACAAAAGTATAGTTTTGCTTAAATGCTTTCACCGTTTGGATGCTTACATACCTTTTAAAGGAAGAAAATAAAAGCATTTACACAGAATGAACTTATGTTGGCAAGGGTTTAAAAAAAAATAGTATCCAGGCAGACAGTTTCAGAGTCCTATTTCCTAAAGAAGTGTCTAAGAAAATTCATGAGTGAAAGTCTTAAAATTAATAAAAACTATAGTGACAAACAGCTGAAGAGTGCTTATTGTATACTGGGGCTTAACACCTGCAACAGCCCTATCAACAGACAGAGGGGTAAACTCATGTTTCAACCAGTTGCCTTTGCAGAAATGGCCAAAGTGAAAAACTATTTATCACCCCTTATCCCCCAACGAATGCTGTTGTCTTTGTAGTTTAGGCTCTGCGGCACCCAGATGACACACAGGTCCTCCATTGCCTCATGTGGTTTCATGCTTTTAAGCCTTCACTCACACAGTCCTCTCCTCATGAAGTGCCTTTCCCCTCTTCTTAGCATTGAAACTCCTATATATCCTTCAGGATTCTTCCTGGGTATTGCGTCGCTTCCCCTGAAAAGCCTCCTAAGCCCTCCATGTCTTAGTTATTGGTTTCTTCACTGTGCAACCGATGTCCTGTACTTACCTGTGTCATGCACAATGTATGGTCATTTTTCTTTTTCATGAAGGAACAAGCCTCATGAGGGAAAAGTCTGTGCCTCATTCATCTTTTCAGTGGAAGCATGTGGTGTAATGCTTGGAGAATGAATGTTAAAGAACTGAGCTGAAATCACAGGGGCTAAGAGTAAGTAACTCATAGCATGACTAGTCATGGAGTCAAGGAGACCTAACTAATAATATATCAAATATGGTGTTAAGCATCCATAAGCAGACCCCCCCACACAATAGATTCTCTCAAACATCACCTTTGCAGCCTATGATTCTGTAATTTTGAGCCTGCACACTGGCTATAACAGTGTGTTAAGTAAGCACTATCAGGGCAAAGGGGAAATATAAGACATGGTCCTTGAACTACTCTGCATCAAAGGAAAAATGACCAAAAATGAAGGTACCAGCGGGCTGCAGTCTGTCTATTTCCTGGTCTAAATCTCTAGCAGGTGATAGTGCGATGCCACATATATGGAAAGAAATTCCTTTGACCTTTCATGAGGCAACACTCCAAACTCAATGCTTTAATTCTTTTAGGTCTAGACTAAAGAATTCCTCCCCTAGAACTCAGACACATCACAATGGATAGCTTCAGCCAAGAGATAAGTTGACTGGCATTTTAATGGATTTCTCTGTAACAGATTGCCAAAGAGCCCCTAGACACAGCATGTTCAACCAACCGAGGGATGCAAAAGGCTTGACTTGGGTTCCAAAAACTTTGTAATCTTTAGTTTAGGAACTATCTCTGTGAAGATGATGATAGAAATACCATTTAAGAGTTCAGAGCTCAGCAGGCTCCATGCAGGGAGAAGATCATGGGTTTATTAATCAAGGAACATTTAGGATAGGAATATTGGAAGACAGCCATCTACCCACAGGATCCTCAAGTCTTGCTTCTTTGGGAAAATTATTGAAATGAAATGAAACTTTTATGTGAGAAATGGGTTCACCTCCCCTTTCCAAATTTCCATCTTTATAGTCTGCTGTGAACCTTCTGTCCTGGTCATCTCTTTGTCCTGTTAGCACAGGGAAAGGGGCTCTTTAGCCTGGACTTGGACCTAAATGTGACTGGGAAATGCTGAATTAAACAAAGCTGAGCAGGTTTCTTTGAGGCAGGACTTCTCAGAGTCTTCAATTTCCATGATGTATATAAAACATGCAGCGTTTCCTAAGATTATTTGACCGTGGAATCATTGTTTTCCTTTTCAGTGGAGTATTTCATGGGGCTGGTAGGCTGTAAGTGTATACTTTGGGATAATCAGAAATTAGATCTCATGGTTCAAAAATGAAACTTCAATCTTCATTGAGCTGTGGAGCAAGAGACAATATGCATTCATTTAATATGGAAAATAGTAGTTGGCATTCAAACTACTTACTACTCTCCCAGAAGAAAAGTCCTTTTCAGGAGAGCTAGCTCCTTTAACTCTTTCCTTTCCCACCACCTGTGAGATACAAAGGCAGCAAGGAATATAAAGCATAAATACACTTCATTTGTTTGCTAGGGTTGCCATAACAAAGTACCACACCTGGATAGCTTAGAAAAGAGATATGTATTATCTTGCAGTCCTAGAGACTAGAAGTTCAAAATCAAGATATTGGCAGCTCAACTCTTTCTGAGGGTTATAAGGAAAGAATTCATTCCAGGTCTCCCTCCCTGGCTTGTAGATAGCGGTCTTGTGTTTCTTTACAACAAATTTCCTCTATCCAAGTCTGTCTCCGTGACCAAATTTCTCCTTTTATAAGGACACACTATATTGGATTAGGGACTACCCTAATGGCCTCATCTTAAGTAATCACATCTGCAATGACCCTATTTCCAAATGAGATCACTTTCTCAGGTACTAGGGATGAGAACTTCCAATATACAGAACACAACTCAACCCATAGCAGATGTCAATCTCCCTACCTTGATTTCTGAGAGAGGAACAGAGACAAAGAGAGGGAGAGAGAAAAAGACAGAGAGAGAGAGGAGAGAGAGAGAGAGAGAGAGAAAGAGAGAGAGAGAGATACAAAGAGACAGAGACAAAAGAGTAAGGATTCACTATTGGAAAAAGCAGAAAACTATCCTGAAGACTCCCTAGGGGGTCTAGCTAATGCTCTCTGGATCATCCTCTCTGTCTCTCTAATATTCAAGGCAACAGCAATCATTCACGTTTGCTGGTAAAACCCTGCACTAAGTCTCTGGTGAAGACTGTTGTCTGAAAAATATGGTGGCATCTGTCTGAGGCTCTGCAGTGAATTGGTGGGCACTCAACCTATCCAACTACATATTTTTGTTTTAATTTATTTTTTAATTTACAAACATTGTAGATATCAGTCACAACATGATGTTTTGAAATATGTGCACATTGTGGAGTAGTAACTTGAGCTAATTAACATATGTATTGCCTCACATACTTATTTTTTTATGGTGAGAACACTTAAACTCTGCTCTTCTGGCATTTTTCAAGAATATAATGCAATGTGAGTAACTGTAGTCGACATGTTGTATAATCAGTCTCTTGAACTTATTACTCCTGTCTAACTGAAATTTTGTACTCCCCCATTCTTCCCCCCAACCCTGATAGCCCACTACATCTTTAGAAACAATCAACAGTGATATTGTACCAAACTAAACCAAATACAAAGGGGAGTCCAAAGCTCTCCTCATCGGCACACTTAGAGTGTTTTTACTTATAAGGAAGATCAATGGTGGCTGATCAAAGAAAACAGAACAGGGAATCCATAAAGAAAAGGAAATCTATATTGTTTGGTTTTTGTCATATTTTGTTTTGTTTTTCCAAGTATCACCAAGAAGAGATCACTCAGAAAGAATTTCCCTATACCAGGTCTTGTAGAGGCATCTTCTGGTTAATGCTGATTGCCATGGAATCTGCCGCTGAACATGTATTGTCAGTACTTAAGTGCAGCTGTAAATCAAGATGGAAGGGTCTAGACACTGACACATTGACTGCAATGTTCACTTGAGTATATGGGGTTGTGGGGGGGTGATTCTTGAAGATTATAGTAATATCCAACATGTTTAGTTGAGAAAAAAATAGGCTGTTAAGAGATGAAGTCTATTCTGTTATATGGTGTGACCTGCTCATAGCAAGCTGCCTGTAGACATCACTGCAGCCTGGGCTTGGCTTTAATGATCAGTGTTCACTAGGGCACGAGCAGGCTGTTGCTGAGTACTAGCCAGGGAAATGTCTCAACCCTGATTATGTCTGGGTTACACTGGCTTCTTTTACCAAATAGTTGCAAGCTGCCTTCACATCCCACTCAGCATTGCATGAAATTCCGTGTTGCAAACTATTCATAATAGACCTTTAAATCAGAGCTTCTGTGCTACTTAAGAAGTATTCTCAGTCTCTACCTCCGGAATTGCAAAACTTCTCTGTTCATGATAGTAGTTTCATTAAAAAGATTTATCTATGTTCCTCAGCTTTCTTCACAAGACTTTGCAAAACTATGAGAACTTGAGAGATTCTACCTGCCATTAGTGTTCGCTCTGCCAAATGTCTGTAATAAGATTCCTTCTTCTCTGCCTTCCTGCAATTAGATGACTTTTATAACTCTCCTGCCTTTTAATAGGTAAATAAAACCTTCTAATCTAAATGCTATACCCATTCTTAAGTGGCTTCTTCCTTAGCAATTCTTATATACCTGGCTGTGAACAAAACTTCCTCAATTTTATATTTTCTTAAAGTTTGGAGCATTAACCCCCTCGTTCTTACATATGTAGAGTTTGGACATCACATTAGAGAAAACTAGAGGATGTCATTTCTATATGTGCAACATAGATTTAGGAAAGAGAATTATTTTGTATCTCCAGTCTTCTTTCCTCCTTACTTTTTAAATCCCATTTAATTAGTATTTCACCTTCAAAATAAAAACAATTATCTATAACAATTCTATACTAAAATCAGGAATGAAAGAGGGGAACAACACAACTGACCTTATAGAAGTAAAACAAAAAGATTATAATGGAATGCTGTGAACTTTATGCCAACAGATTTAATAACAGAAGAATTCCTAGAAAGACACAGACTGCTGAAACTGACTCAAAAAGAAATAGAAAATTTGAATAGACCTGTAACAAGGAAGAGTTGAATTAGTAACAACAACCAAAAAAACCCCACAGAGAAAATCCCAAGCACAAATGGTTTTACCAGTGAATTCTGTTAAACTAAAAATAATTAATACCAATTCTTCATCAACTCTTTCAAAAGTACAAGAGGAGGAGAAACATCCCAAGTCACATGATGAGGCCACTCTTACCCTGCTACTAAAACCAGGCAATGATATCATCGGAAAAGAAAGCTACAGAACACTATCTCTTATAAATATAGATGTAGAAAGCCTCAGCAAAACAGTGGTAAACAGAATCTAATAGCATATTAAAAGGATTATATACCACAACCAAGTGAAATTTATCTCCAAAATGAAAAGTTGGCTTAATGTCTGAAAATTAATTAATGTAATACATCAGATCAATAAAGGACAAAATCTACCTAATTATCTGAATGGATGTAATAAAAGCATTTGACAAAATTAAATACTCCTTAATTATGATAACACTCAATAAACTGGGAATGTAAGAGAACTTTCTCAACCTGATAATAGGAATCTACAAAAATCCCACAATAGCATACTTAATGTTGAAAGGTGGGATAGTACCCCCCTGTGCAAGATCACGAACAAGACAAGAATATTTGCCCTCAGCAAATATTCAACATTATATTTAACATTCAATATTCAATATTCAAAAGTATATTCAACATTATACTAAAGTTCTAGCAAGGGCAATTAAGCAAGAAGATGAAATAAAAGTCCCACAGATTGGGAAAGGAGCAAAACATTTTTATTTGCAGATGATATAATCTAATATATAAAAAATTCTAAGAAATGTATTTTGAAAACCATTAGAACTAATAAATGAAATCAGCACATTTGCTGTCTATAAGCAAAGTACACAAAAACCCATTTTATGTCTATACTCTTGCAATAAACAAAAAGAAAATGAAATTAAGAAAATTCCATCTATAAGGCATCAATAGAATAAGATATTTATATATAAATTTAACAAAAGAAATGAAAAATTTAACACTCTGACATTACAAATATTGCTCTAAAAATTAAAGAAAACTTAAATAAATGGAAAAACATTCTATGTTTATGGATCAGAAGATTTAAGGTGTCAACACGTGTCAAATTGCTGTAAAGATTCAATAAAATTTCTATCAAAATCATGCCTGCATTTTTGTTTTGAGACAGGGTCTCACTCTGTTGCCCAGGCTGAAGTATAGTGGCACAATCATGATTTATTGCAGCCTCAAACTACTGGGCTCAAGTAATCCTACCACCTCAACCTCTTGAGTAGCTGGGACTACAGGCATGCCACCACACCTGACTAAATTTCAAACTTTTTTTTGTAGATAGGGTCTTGCTATGTTGCTCAGGTTGGTCGTGAACTCCTGGCCTCAAGTGATATTTCTGCCTCTACCTCCTAAAGTGCTAGGATTACAGGCATCATCCTGTGTCCAGTCCTGCCATGCCCAGCGCTGCCTGCATTTTTGAATAAATTGACAAGACAATAGCAAAATTTATAGGAAAATTCAAGAAACCTAGACTATCCAAAATGATCTTTAAAAAGAATAATAAAATGGAAGGACTCACATTTCCCAATTTTGAAACTTATTACAGAGCCATAGTAATCAAAGTAGTGATATTAGCATAAGAATAGACATAGAGATCAATGCAATAGAATTGTGAGTCCAGAAATAAACCCTTAGATTTATTGTCAATGGATTTTTGACAATGATGCCAAAAAAATTAATGGAGGAAAAATAGTCTTGTCAGAAAATGATGCTAACACAACTGGATATCCATGCAAAAGAATGAAGTTAGACTCCAACCCCACCCTGTACACACAAATTAACTCAAAGGAGATCATAAGGCAAAATGTAAAAGGTAAAAATTGTAAAACTCTTAGAAGGAAGCATAGGCATAAATATTTGTGACCTTAAGTTGGCACATTTTAAAGATATTGCACCAATAGTACAAATGATAAAGAAAAGAATAGATACATCAAACTTCGTCAAAATTGAAAGGCTTTTTTTTTTCCTTGAAACAATGACATTAAGAAAGTGAAAAGACAGTTCATAGAATGGGAAAAAATACTTATAGATTATACAAGATACAAATATCTGATAAGAATCATATGCTGAACACACACACACCCGCTTTTACAACTCAATAATAAAAACATAACTAACCCATTTTAAAAATGTGCAAAAGATCTGAATAAACATTTCACTAAAGAAGATGTATAAATGGCCAGAAAACACATGAAAAGAACTGGAGGTCTTATATACACTGCTGGTAGAAATATAACATGGCACATTCACTTTGGAAAATAGCGTGGCTGTTTCTTAAAAATATAGACACATACCGGGCCGGCCGTGGTGGCTCATGCCTGTAATCCCAGCACTTTGGGAGGTCGAGGTGGGTGGATCACGAGGTCAGCAGTTCGAGACCAGCCTGACCAACATGGTGAAACCCCGTCTCTACTAAAATTACAAGAAAATTAGCTGGGTGTGGTTGCTGGCACCTGTAATCCTAGAGACTTGGGAGGCTGAGGCAGGAGAATCGCTTGAAACCGGAAGGCGGAGGTTACAGTTAGCCAAGATTGCACCACTGCACCCAAGCCTGGGCAATAAGAGCAAAACTCCATCTCAAAAAAATATATATATACACACACACACACCCATATCTACCTATTACTGTCTAGCTATTCCTAGTTATCTATCCAAGAGAAATGAAAACACACATCCACACAAAAATATTACATGAATGTTCATAGCAGCATTATTCATAATAGTTCAAAAATGAAATCAACCCAAATGTCCATCCACTGATGAATGGGAAAATAAAAGATGGTATATCTATGTGATGGAATATTATTTGGCAATAAAAAGGAATGAAATACTGATACATGCCACAACACGGATGAATCTTGAAAACATTGTGCTATATGAAAGAAGCCAGTCACAAAAGGCCACACACTGTTTGATTCCACTTATATGAAATGTTCAGAATAGGCATCTTCAGGAATAGAAAGCAAGAGAGTGGTTTCCTAGGGGTAGGAGTGAAGAAGGTGGGGAATGAGGAGTGACTGCTCATGTATAAGAGGTTTCTTTTGAAGTGATGAAACTGTTGTAAAATTAGATTATAGTGATAATTGCATAATTTTATAAATATACTTTAAAACCATGAAATTCTATACTTTAAATGGTATGGAATTTTATGGGATGTAAATTATATGTCAACAAAGCTGTTAAAAATGTTTTGAAAGATTCTATAAAGATTTCACTCCTGCTAATTAAAGTAGTTCATTTCTCTTTACCTTTCTTCTTTTATTTTTCTTCCCTCCCCAACCTTCTGTTGGCCTGCTGCACCAATTCAATTCCTTCCCTTCCATTTCATCTAATACAATGATTTTTATTAATAAGTAATGTATGAGCACAGTGCAAAAATTATAATAAAAAGTGTAAAATCAGAAATAAATGCTTCCCACTGCTCTATAAACTGCTGTCCCACTCTCCAAATGTAACTGCTGTCAACGGTTTCTCATGGATTGCTTTAGAAATTGTTTACACATTCATAGCCCATGTCCATATGGTGCCTATATTTTTACACAAATTGGACCACATGCTATTCTGCATTTCATTTGTCTCCTTTAGTGCTGTATTTTGGAAATCTTTTCATGTTTGCATATATAGACCAATCACATCTATTTAGTAGCAGCGTGGCATTCGTTGACTCTTTGTGACATAGTTATATCATTGATTCTCTATTAAGAGATATTTAGGTTGTCTTCAAATGTGGATAGGTTTTGTTTTATATGTTTTACTATTACAAACTATACTACAATGAATATCTTTGTGTATTGGTGTGTAATTACAAGGAAGCATTCATGGGTTAAAAACCATGTGTTTTTGAATGTTGATAAATGTGACTAGATTGCCCTGAAAAATAGTGTCTCCTATGTAATCCCGTTGTTGGGGGATGAGAGAGCCAGTATGTATTCCAAAAGCTACCTTGGCTTAGAACAAGTTCCACCCTCTCTCTGACTACAGCCTTGACCACACTCAACACATTACCCAGGCTGAAGTATTGTACGGACGCTGTCAGCAACTCACCCTCTCCATAGAAGAGTATTGTTCTGCTCTGTTCTCTGCAGTTTTCCTTCCTGGCAGCCAGGTCTCCATGACTTGTGCCAGAGACGCAATCGATATGCAAGTGGCCCTGTCCAAGTAAAGGCCATGTCAGCTCACGTTCTGACTTTATGATTCTCTAGTCAGAGACTGATGGTCCCAGCTCTTCCTTTGCATATTCCTGCTTAACCTTGAGGAAAGTCACTTAACTTCTGACAACTCCTGCATCAACTTAAGCAGCTGGCGGGGATGATAGTGGCAGAAGGTAATGTGAGCCACGTGTGAGGTTTTGAGTATTTGTGTATAGACGGGTGCAGAGGAGCATAGAGGTGAGGATAATACTAAATGGCTATTTTTGAGTTTATAGGAAACCAATAAAAAGATGGCTAGAATAATATTGTGGAGCAGCAACCCCCAACCTTTTCGGCACCAAGGACCAGTTTCGTGGAAGACAATTTTTTTTTTCATGGACCAGGGGTGGGGGTGTGGGAGGGGTGAACAGTTTCAGAATGAAACTGTTCCATCTCAGATCATCAGGGAGCATGCAGCCGACATCCCTCGCGTGCGCAGTTCACAATAGGGTTCATGCTCATATGAGAATCTGATACTGCTGCTGATCTGATGGGAGGCAGAGCTCAGGAGGTAATGTTCACCGGCCTGCTGCTCACCTCCTGCTGTGCAGCCTGGTTCCTAACAGGCCAAGGACGAGTACTGGTCTGCGGCCCGGGGGTTGGGGACCCCTGTAATGTAGGGCATCTTTGATTCTCTTGCAGATGCTCTGATATAACTAAACGGGGTGTGGTTTCAGCTGTGATGCAAGTTGTTCCTTTTTTTCTGCATACCCTTTTAAAATGTTTTTGATTAACGCTGTATATATTTAAGGAGTACAACATGATCTTTAAGTGAAACTTATTTTATTTTATAATGCAAGTACATGATGGTTAAGAACACACTAACTTAGACTAATACAGTTTGGTGCCATCGCTCTGATTCTTGCAAAATTGCCAGCAGTTTTAACCACCATTTCTTTCTTGCCCATCAGTAGAAATTTTATGGCAAAAATTCAAACAATATCTTCATGTTATTACAAAAACGATTTTAACCTCACAGAACCCTTAAAAGTCTCCTGGGGACCTCTAGGATCTGTGGACCACACTTGGAGAATCTCTGCTGTAAACAAACATACAAACAAAATGCCGCAATGAAAAGATATTTCAAAACGACTAAAATTCTTTGTGTTTCTTAAGCACCATGAAATAAACATATGATTCACAACAACGCTTCTAAAGTCTACAACACAATTTTTTGATATATATTAAAAATTCATATACACATAATATATTACTATAGTCAAGCAAATTAACATATCTGTCTCCTCATATTTTTTTGTGGGTGATGAGAGCACCTGAAATCTACTCTCTTAAAAATGCTGGAAATTATATATATATAATATATATACATATGCCCATGTGTGTGTGTGGTTTTATGTATATGTAGTAATATATATGGTAATATATATATTCCATATATAAGAAAATATTATTCAGCCATGAAAAGAAGGGAATCCTACCATTTATAACATTGATGAACCTGGAGGACATTATGTTAAGTGAAATAAGCCAGACACAGAAAGACAAATACTGCAGAACTTCACTAATATGTGGAATCTAAAGAAGTGGAATTCCAGGCCGGGCACAGTAGCTCACACCTGTAATCCCAGCACTTTGGAAGACCAAGGAGGGCGGATCACAAGGTCAGGAGATCAAGATCAGCCTGGCTAACATGGTGAAACCCCATCTCTACTAAAAATACAAAAAAATTAGCTGGGCCTGGTGGCGGGCGCCTATAGTCCCAACTACTCAGGAGGCTGAGGCAGGAGAATGGCGTGATCCCGGAAGGCAAAGCTCGCAGTGAGCCGAGATCATGCCACTGTACTCCAGCCTAGGTGACAGAGTGAGACTCCATCTCAATCCATCTCAAAAAAAAAAAAAAAAAAAAAAAAAAAGTGGAATTCCTAGAAGCAAAGAGTAGAAAGGTAGTTAGTTACCAGTGGCTTGGGAGATAGAAAAGTGGGGGAGTTGGGGAGGTGATGGCCAAAGGGTTCAAAATTGCAGTTATGTAGGATGAATAAGTTTAGAGATTTAAGGTACAGAATTAGAACTATAGTTGATAATTTCACATTGTAGACTGGAAATTTTCTGAGATGGTTGTTACTCTTAGGAAAAGCCTTATATGGAATAGAAAAATCCAAGCTGGCCTAAGGCTGACCACACAGACACTGCCAGAATCAGGCCGTTGTCTTACCCTCAGGCTTGTGTAAGTGGCCCTGACTCTATCCTCATTCGTCTACCTAGAGGTAGATGGGTCAACGGTGGGAGCTAAGTCCTGGCCTACATATAGCCACTTCTTCCAGGGTCAGACTTATAGCACTGGCTAGATGGAGTTTTGATACATTGTTAACATTATCAGTTGCCCAGAAGTGACATCAGATGAAGCGAAAATATTCCCTGTCTTTAAACTTTGGATCAAATTTAGCTCCCACCTCCATTCTTAACATGCAGGTTTGAAGATCAGTTCTGACACTAACAAGCTGGGATGAGGTTGGGGTGGAGGGTCCATGGGTGAGGGACAGCACTTAATTTTGCTAGACATGCATTTCCTCAGCTGTAAAACAAAAGTTTTGGATTAGACTAGGGTGACAAACTCTATAATAGACTGCAATTGTCCCCCGTTTTACAGAGGAGAAAACAGAGGCTTAGAGAAATGAATTAACTGGCCTGACATTGCATTTCTAGCGGCAGGTGGAACTAGATATCGGTCTCAGGAAAGTCTGACTTTCCTCTGGGCTCTACTCCGCTGGGATGTGTGGTGCACTGGTGTGGCCATTTCTCAGCCCAGCCTTTACAAATTCCTTTCTTTCCACAGCTGGACCATGTCCAACCCTGCTCTGTGAGCAGCACCCAGTCCTTAAGAGTCCCGGCCCAGTGCTCCAGGACTCAACATAAATTCCCTTGAGTGGCTGGTCCCCCCGACCTAGAACCCAGTGAGGGTCTCAGCACAGTACCCTTCCTCATGTCCCCAGCCTCTGCCATAGCTGCATCCCAGTGATGTACTGAGCAGCTCCACTACATCTCCCAATCCTCACAGCTCTTCCCCACCTCCTAGCTCTCCCTGCAGAAATCTGGGTATTGAAACAGTCCCTGTCAGAACTCCTCCACCCCTGTCAGACACGCGACGCCAGCTCCTGTTCCAGGTGCTGCCTTGATACTCACCCTGGCTGCTGCGCTGGACTTCCTCTCAGTGCCTGGAAGGTGGGTCCAACCTGCTTCCCCCCTGGAGTGGGAGTGGTTCTGAGCTCAGTTTTCTGTAGTATGCTGATTTCTGGCACATTTAAGTGGTCCCGTACAAGTGTGTTCTTTTTTTTTTTTTTTTTTTTTTTGAGACAGAGTCTTGCTGTGTCGCTAGGCTGGAGTGCAATGGCGTGATCTTGGCTCACTGCAACCTTCGCTTCCCGGGTTCAAGCGATTTTCCTGCCTCAGCCTCCTGAGTAGCTGGGGTTACAGGCATGCGCCACCACGCCTGGCTAATTTTTGTATTTTTAGTAGAGACGGGGTTTCACCTTGTTAGTCAGGCTGGTCTCAAACTCCTGACATGGTGATCCGCCCTCCTCGGCCTCCCAAAATGCTGAGATTACAGACATGAGCCACCGCGCCCTGCCACAAGTGTGTTCTAAGACATGCTGTAATACTGATGCCCACCCCCAACTCCTTCAAAAATAGGAGACAAGAGCCATCATAGGTCTTCCTAGGCCAAAGAACATGCTGCAAGACATCACTCCTCCAAGAACACGGGGATTTGGGGAAGAAAGGACTGGTGAGTATTTCTAAAAGTTCATTTCTGAGGAATTCTGTTAGTAACATTATAAGGAGTTAAATAAAATACTCGCTGGAGTTCTAATAGGTATTTCCATTAACAGACCAAAGAGCTGGAAAAAAAAAAAAAAAAAAGATCGTACATGTGTAAAGACTGCCTGGTCTCAGGCAAGCCACACAACCACTTTGGACCACAATTCTTTGTCTCTAAATGCTCGTCTTGACCCCTGCTCTTCCATACCCATAAGCTTATTGTGAAATCGAAGTGGCTTATAAATCCTAAAACAGTGGTTACAGATGAAGTATTTCTGATTCCCTGACATGAACTTGCTATAAAATGAATTCAAAGTCTAGGCAGGACTTACCCTACAAGAATTAGATATCATTCTTTTCAAATTAGGGTAATTTTGGTTTGGATTTAGATGGGTCTTAATTGACTCTTGTATGAATATGTTTCCTATCACATGTTTGAAATTCTCTTTCTTTAGATTAAACAGCATTTTGCTTTTAAAAAATAAAACTGAAAAGCATTTTAGAATAATCACTTTGGTCTTGGTCCTAGCCTATCCATATTTCTGCCTTAAACATTAAAATAGAAAGTATTTGGGGAATAATTAAATTGTATCTGGTGGGATATCTCCCCCCAGTGAGAGAGGAAATGGAACAGGGAGATTTGAAGCAGGCCTAAGAATATAATACTGTGCTGCTGAGCTACAAAAATCCTGCCTGATTTGTAAATTTGCGTTTCCATGGCAACACAAGTGTGTAGTTAAATAATCCTCACTCGTCTAGTACTGAATTCCAGCAACTCTTCCTAAACCTTCATCCTATTCCAATCCCACAGCTGTTGCCATGGAAATGATCAGATAAGATTCAGTCCTAGAGGTAGATGGGCCAACAGTGGGAGCTAGTCCTGGCCTACATATAGCCACTGAAATATTAGGTTTTGCTTTGCTTCCTCCCAATCTTCAAATCACAGAAAGCGGTCGCTTCAAATGAGAGGCTAATTTAGCATGATGTCATGACAATCAGTCTTGGGGTTTGGGCATGTGGAGTAAATGAGGAAAAGTTAACGCCAAAACACTGCTGGGGAATGGAAAAAATCAGAAATGCTTTCCTCTGACTCATTTTTGGAAACTTTCTCCAAGAATCCATTACACCAGGGTATTCTCTCAGGAGGTGGGTGTCCCAGATGCAATTTTCCTAGGCTGGTCCCTGCCCTACCAGGAGGTTAGGTCACACGGGGCCACTCCCCAGGTTTGACAGCCGAGGAGTACCCGTTCGTTCGTTCTGCATTGTTCATGAGGAGTTCTGTTTTTCATAGTTGATGGGAGTTTATAGTGTGCCTCCGGGGTTGACTCTGGCTGTGTCAGCAATGTCTTTAGGACTGACAGAATTTTTCCGTGCCGCTATCAACATCTTTGTATCATGTGCATTCTTGCAAACAGATTGTTTGGGAAGACCTAAAATTTAAATCATTGTTTCTAAGCAATATCCAGAGGATATTTTGTTTACATATTATAGAAAGAAGCAATACTTTGTCTCTTTGAACAGTGTGATCTCATTTATTGTGAAATCTTTGCTGGATACTTCCCTGAAGGGGAGGGGTTAGGCCAGAGTCCAAAGCAATTTTGCCTTTCAGTGAAGCAGATTCCTCGCAGTGTGTGAGCCCTAATATGTCATATGAGAAAAAGACACACCTCACAGTAAAATACGAAATCCCAGTAAAATATGGAAGGGAACTTGAAGTGTCTCTGGAAATCCAATGAGCAGTTTTCAGATGAAGACGCTGAGGCTGGGGTTTCCAATATCTCACGGTTTAGGACTCATGGGTTTTTCTCTGGACTCCCCCTCATGCTGCCACTGCTTTAGGGAAAGATCCAATAGGTACAGCTATCTTTATTTTTATTCTCCTTTTTCCTGGACAGCTCCAGCAGAGTTCCTATAGTGTGGTTCTTATTATTTCCTCTTGGAAGCTTCAGTCATATATGCTAGACACTGTTTCATAAATTTTCACATGCCTATAATTTGTTCAATAAACACTCGCTGAGTTAATATATATATTACATGATTTAAGGTATCATTGGAGTGTGATATAGCTTGGATTCATGTCCCCAACCCAATCTAATGTTGAAATGTAATCTCCAGTGTTGGGGGTGGGGCCCGGTGAGAGCTGATTGAATCGTGGGGGCTGATCCCTCATGAATGGTTTAGCACCGACTCGTTGGTGCTGTCCTCGCAATAGTGAGCGAATTCTGGTGAGAGCTGGTTGTTTAAAGGTGGGTAGCAACTTCTCTCTCTCTTGTTCCGCCACATGAGATGCTTGGTCCCCCTTCAACTTCTGCCGTGATTGGAAGCTTCTTGAGGCCTCCCCAGCAGCGGACGCCTGTATTCTACTTCTTGTACAGCCTGCAGAACCATGAACCAATTAAACCTCTCTTCTTTATACATGACCTAGTCCCAAGTATTTCTTTATAGCCATGTGAGAATGGTTTAACACACAGTGTTTGGAGTAAGAAGCTGCTATCAACGTGTTCATATTGACCTTGTTCCATGTGGCTCCTCTCACCATAGTGACAGAGCGATAAGGTGGCAGCTTCTAGGACCTGCTTAGACGTACTCTCTGAGCAAGTTGTATGTTTTAGGTGGTAAAGGTTATGACTTTCAATGACACGGAGTAGAATTTGCTCTTCTCTTGACTTTCATCATTGTAAGTGACGCTGAAGAGAGACAAGAGCTGAATCGTTTCTTAAATGAAGAAAAATGAAAAATTAGAACTAAGAGCTTACCTTCTCCCACTGATTTCTGTGACTCTCAGCAGTACTGTGAAGAGGAGGTTGTGCTCTCTCTCACACAGCAAAAACGCAGCTTTGTAGCCTAGCGGTCATACCTCAATAGAATGGAGCCAGTGTAGATAACATTCTGATATCCTGTGTGCTATTCTGATCCCCGCCCTACCCCTTATGTTAATTCAAACTTTGTAAACACTCTGTTCTGTTCTCCTGAAGCTGAAGTCTATCTAACTGCGAAGAATACTCTTCATGTGAAAAAATGTGTACTTGTTACTATGGTGATGAATACTGTCATTTCCACAACCAGGAAAAGTTCTGAAATGGGGGAAATACTCCTAGACATGGCCATGCTAAGTGCTCATCTTCAAATCCTTCCTTTCCAGACCCAATCAGGCTCCAAATCTCCACTAATGCACTTCTGAATATATCAAAAAAATCACTCTTTCCCAAGCCACCATCATCTTTCTCTTAAAACGACTGTAGTAGCCAGTTAATTAATCTTACAGATCTTTTCTTAGCCCTGTTCAAAGCAGGAACCAAAGCAATGCTTTAGAAACCTGAAACCCGATCATGTCACTGTCTTGTTTATAAACCTTTCAATGCATTTCAACTTTTTAACTTCTGCCTCTCGGAATAAAATCCAAAATCCTCAGCATGGCACTGTATGAGTGGTCCATTTCCCATCTCCCCAGGGCAGCCTGGAGCCACTTCTCCTGCATTTCCCATGCCCCAGCCACCCACCCAGGTCCCCAGTGTGCACACAAACAAGGAGTGCTTCTCCTGCCCTTTGCTCTGGCTGACTCTATTCACCCTTCAGCCTGAGCTGAAAAGTTATTTCCCAAAATAAGGTTTTGCTGAGCTCTCAGGTTGCAGAGTCTCACTCTTGCAAGCTCTCCCGCACAGTGAGTATGCATTTAGAGGAATTCACCACAACTAACCACAGAGCACTGTGTATAATACTTCATCTGTAGTCTCTTGTAGAATGTAAGTCCTGTGAGGACAAAGACTATGTCTTGTGCACAGATGAGATGCGTAAGAAGTAGCTATCAAAATAATGAATGAAAGCCTGTGGCTAAATGGAGAGCAAGAACAGTCACGGGCAATGAGAAGGTCCAGGCAGTTAGAGGCAGGTTATTGGGAAGGTCTCTAATGTCCCAGAATGGACAGGGAACAAGGGACACCTTTGGTTCAAATATTGAGCAGCTAGGCCTGGCGTGATGGCTTACGCCTGTAATCCTAGCACTTTGGGAGGCTGAGGTGGGCAGATTGCCTGAGCTCAGGAGTTCAAGACCAGCCTGGGCAACATGGCGAAACTCCATCTCTACTAAAAATACAAAAAATTAGCCAGGTGTGGTGGTGTGTGCCTGTAATCTCAGCTACTCTGGAATCTGAGGCACAAGAATCACTTGAACCCAGGAGGCAGAGGTTGCAGTGAGCTGAGATAGCGCAATTGTACCCCAGCCTGGGGGACAGAGCGAGACTCTGTCTCAAATAAATATATATATATATATAGAGAGAGAGAGAGCAGCTGTACGTGCCACACCCTGAACCAGAGGAATGAATCGGGGATGCAAGGCGAGCCACAGTTCCTTATGTCACAGACCTTACAGTCTATTGAGGGTGACATATGAGTAAATGTAAGTCACATCATACATACTTCTAAGTTAAATGCCATATTGATATGGTTTGGCTCTGTGTTTCCACCCAAATCTCACCTGGAAGTGTAATCCCCGTAATCCCCACGTATCAAAGGCAGGACCAGGTTGAGGTAATTAAATCATGGCGGTGGTTTCCCCTATGCTGTTCTCGTGATTGTGAGTGAGTTCTCATGAGATCTGATGGTTTTATAAGGGACTCTTGCTTCCCCTTTGTCTTCCACCATGAGTGTAAGTTTCCTGAGGACTCCCCAGCCATGCTGAACTGAAGTCGATTAAACCTCTTTCCTTTCTAAATTACCCAGTCTCGGGTATTTCTTTATAGTAGCATGAGGACAGACTAATTCCTGTCCCACCCCCAAAAAGACATTCTGCATATCATGTTTTATGCTGCAGGATGCAGAATGATTTGGCAGATCTAAATATTCTATCCCCTCATAAGGCTGGGTTGCTACAAACATCTTTTTTCTAGGGAAGCTGACTCTAGTATTTGAAAATGAGTATTTTTCTTATATCATGGGCCCTGAAGTCAAGCCAACTATTTCATCTGGTGCTCAACTGAAGCAAAGATGATTTGTTCCAGTGCTAAGAGGGAAAGGAGCTGGAAGCAGCATTGGGCAGAGTGGGGAGCTGAGCTGCCGTGCAGTCTCAACAAAGGCCTCAGCCAATCCCACGGGGAGCTCGAGAGCTGGGAGGGCCCTCCGGAGTTGTCTTGAATTGAGGCAATGGGGCTGGCCATTGAATCCCTATACTGACCAATTATTAATTGTAGGCTGCCCCAGGAATGGGTGTGCCCTTGGCTGAGGCAGCTGCCTTACTCTGAGGGCAATTCTTTGGGAGAAATTCAGCTGTGCACCGTCAGAAAGAATCACTCCAAGCAGGTGGGGGAATGAGTGCCTTTGTCCTGAAGGCAGGACCTGGGTGGCATATCACAGCATCCACTACGTAGAGATAGGCACGGTGTTTTCTAATTTTCCCTCTTTTTTCTCTGCCCTTGCCCATCCCCAGATTTTCTTCTTACTTGAAAGGATTTCCTAGACATAAGCCTATTGGTTGATGGCAATGGTTCAGCTGAGCTTCTACAATGCTCTAGCTCATAGAACATTGAAACCATAGAACATTGATCTGGGGAGGGGAAGCAAAAGATTTTAGGCACTGCTTGCTTCACATAATTCAATCCATTCCCATCTCCAACTGGTGCTGATGGGTGGGTAAAGGCAAGCTGAAATGTCCTGTCCCTCCAAGAAAGAATTAAATATATTTCCTAAGGATGAGAATATATGGATTATTTTGTCTTTAAGTATAGAAAAAGGTAAACAAAGATGAGTATAAGGCAGTTTCATGGCCCTGAGCAGTGCCATGGGGCAAAGTGCTTGCTCTCTTTGGACCCTTCCATTTTGGAAGGAGCTATTTGTCCTCAGCTGAAGTTTGAGAATGACTGGCAGGGAGAGTCCCAGAGCTTCAAGTAGTCACTGAGTTCTTGCCGCAAACCAGGCGCAGTTGTAGCTGGGGTTGGCTATGGAACCACATATCTGAGACATGCGCCTGCTACCTTGTCTCTTTTAAGAACCCACATGCTCCCTAAGTCAGGTTCAAACTACTCATCTCTGTGGCATTGCTTCTAGCAGTGACACGCTCTCCATCTTGGCCCACTAATTAAACATGTTAGGCCAAGGGCAGTGATTTGTGAACACTTTGTTCCAAATAAACCGTCAGTGTGGCCACAGCCCTTTCAACACACACTGTATTTTTTCAGGTCTCTGGACCCTTCCACATTCCCTGCCCTTCTCTCTGTTCTTTCTTTCCTACTTTTGGGGCTGTGGAGTTGTCACAAAGGGAGTGCCTCTTTGCATGCAAGGGATGAGAAGGTCTGCTAGGTTTGTCTTTGCCATCTGCCTCTGCACCATTCTAGCATAACCCCTACCAAGGCCAAAGCAATTAGATGTTCAAACTCTTCCTTTTTAAGCTTTATTACAGAAGTGTTCAAAGCTCTTACATCTTCCCTAGAAAACTGTTAAAACTCTTGTCACATTTCTGGAACTCCTTTCCCGTGGGGACCAGCCTGCCACTGAAATCTCATTCTTTCAAGGCCTGACAGTGCCATATTGGGGTCTGGATGGAATCCAGAATCACAGAGACACTTAAAAATTGGGAAAACTTTCTGGAAATAAAGTTAGCTAAGGGATTTTTGTTCTTTTTAATCTCACTAAATGACATCTCTTGTCACTCAGAAGGAGAACCTGGGAGCTTCTTTGTGCTTACACATCTTCATTAAAAATTGAAACTTGAGAGCCCAGTGAAATTCATTTCTTTTGCCCTCACTTCTCACCTGCAGTCCCAACTATTCATTTGTTCAGATATGTATTAAGCACCTGCTGTATGTCAGGCTCTGTCTTGGGTGCTGGAAGCATGGAGAGGAAAGAGACACTATATCCCTTGGCTGTCCCATCAAAGAGCAGAACACAGTGGGAGGAGTGGCCCCTGGAGCTGTGCAATTGGAAGAACCACGAGACCTTAAGGACCTCACTGACTAGACCTGCACTGCCCAGTATGTAGCCCAGCCCTGGCCACCTGCAGCTATGAGCACTTGAAATGTGACTGATGCAACTGAGGAAATTCATTGGTCATTTTCTTCAATTTCACTTAATTTTAGCTTAAAAGTGAATACTCAATTCCATTACTGGAAAACTTTTACATATGCTTGGAAGAATAAGAATGTGAGTCTTTTTTATAAAGCCTAAATATCATGAAATCTAAGTACAGGTCAAGCATTTCCAAGGCAAATTTAGCATCTTAATCAAGATGTGCTATAAGCATAAAATACACACTGGATTTATAAGACCTAATGTAAAAAGGAAAATGAAAAATGTCCCATTAATAATTTACATATGTATTACATGTTGAAATAATAATACTTTGGATACTTTGGGTCCAATAAATATTTACTAAAATTAATCACTTGGGACTTTACCTTTATAAAAATGTGGCTACTAGAAAATTTAATATTACATATGTGGAACATGTTATATTATTAGTGCCCTAGCAGAAGAAATAGATAAGGAAAATGGAAGTTAATTGTATCAGGATGAGTGTGAGATAGAGAAGTAAGGGACAAATAGGTGGAGCATCTTATATGGGGGATGTATAGAAGCTCACAGGCCTAACAAAGTAGAGAAGAGAGAAAAGAAATGTTCCAGTCATACATGTGCAAAGACACAGAAGCAGACATGAGCCTCCCACATCTGGAACGTAAATGAATTGCAATTTAAAAGAAAGTAAGACTGGTGATAAAAGCAGGGTCAGAAATGGAAGGACCTTGTACACCAAATAAGGGTCCTGAGGTTAATCCTAGAGACAGCGAGGCACCGTCGAGATGCTTTGAGGAAAGGCATGGCATGGTCAGAGCTGCATGTAAAACGCCCTCCCTGGTGGTCGCGTGAAGAATGGGTTAGAGCAGGTGAACTGGAGACTTTCTCTATGTGCACAGGCAGCAAGACAGAAATCCGGGGATCCAGTGTTACCCCCTGAAGGAAGGGATGTTCCATGAAGGAGGAGAGGAAGGAAGGCAGCAATCCAGATTGCTGTTCATGCTATAGGTAGGTGAAGTCAGCCATAAATAGGAATCTTGAGTAAAAGAAGAAATATTAATGTTCATGTAACTTCCTTTTCTGAAAAAGATCTAGTTCCTCTTAGTATAAACCAAACCTGTGAAAACAATCATGTATATTTAGGAAGTCAACACTTAGACAACCAGAGAACCCTGAAAATATGAGTTTCTGACAAACCAAATCAATTAATGTATACCCTATGATATGGAAAAAATGCAATTATGAGAAGAGGAAAAAAAAACTGGCCATATTGTGAAAACCAATTTTCCAGGATTGTGTCCAGCCTCGACATCCTTCTGATCCTGTGTATTTGACTGGTCTGTGTGGTCAGGCCTCGCTTTCATGTTTTTTAACTTGGGACCCTTTGGGCAAATGGCTTTGAATACAAATATTCCAGATCTTCCTTGGGACTGTCTCATTATGCTCTGACTTCATTATTGGCTCTAACCTCATTTCATTACTAATTTACATTTACTTTCCTACTAGGAGGTCAGAGTTTTTTTTTTAAATAAGGAAATGTGAATTGGTATATTTCTGTTTTTCCGTTAAGCACCTACCACTTAGGAATTGTGTGTCATTCTATGCCTCCTAAGGATGGTTGAATGCATCAGAATTCGAAATGTTTAAAATGCCTCAGGCTTCTTAGAAGAATACTGTTCTGGGAGTAAAAAATAGAAATATACGTTAATAAGTATCACAGAAAATGCTCCGAGTTTAATCATCACAAATGGTATTCATTACATGGCAGCAGCATGGACTGGTCTGGGAACAGGAGTCAGGAGGCTGGGTCTCCCAGTCCCACTGTGCATTTGGCCTCTGTGCCAAATGGGCCATTCATTGATCGCCCTGAGCTTGCACTCCGTCGTGTGTGAAATTAAAATAACAATATCTGCCCTCTATACTCCCACAGGGCTGTTGTGATGAGCGGATAAAATTCCTCCGTAAAACCAATGGAGAAGTAGACACTTTCAGCTGTGCATCACTAGACATGGCCAATTTTTGACGGTCATGATGGTGATTATGGTGGTGTATGTCATTGTTGTTTAATCTCTCCAAAGCCAGCACAGACCTCAGCATATGGTCTATTATAGGTGCTCAATAAATATTGTTGAATGGAGCCATCATTTCCCAGGGGGTTCTTTTCATGATTTTTTTTTTTTTTTTAAGAAATCCTTCTTTCCACCATAAGCTTCTTCTTTCATGAATTCTTAAAGCCATCTTCCTTTGTCTCCATAACACCTTAGCCTCTGACTTTTCAGGGCTGGCTTTCTATGCTAATTTTTCTCCCTGCCCCTCTTTGAAAGCTCCCTTGTGGATCTAAGGTTGCCTCCAACTTGATCTCATCTATGTCTTTCTCTGTTTGCCTAGACTTTGCTTCTCATTCCTCCCAGTTTGAGTTCTAGGAAATCCGTGGCCTCCTTCTTTTTTCACACGCCCACAAATGACTTTGAAAATTTTAGTCCTCACTTAAACACTTCTTGCTGCTTTCTCCTGCTTCTTTTTTTCTCCTGTAAATCTTTGCCTCGTTGTCAGTGAAATTCTCTTTTCTTTTTTTATGCAATTCAACCTCCGCATCACTATAATCTTTCTCATCATATGGTTTCTCTGTTGGTTAAACCCACTATTTTGACACAGTTTATAGACCCTTTCCTTCCTCACCTTCAGTGGCTCAGCTTTGATTTAATGCTGGGTTTCACATGGATTGTTTTCTTGGGGGCTAGAACCATTATTGATGCCATGATATTTTATGGTCACAGAGTATTTAGTCTCTAAGAACCTCTACAAGCATAATGAATTTTGGAAAGGGCAAGAGAGATAAGACAGGCCACTATTTTAAATACACAATTGGTGTTTCTACAGGAAACTTGAATGGCATCACAGTCTATTCTCTGAAGTGTTAGTTAGCCCTTTGTCTCACTAGACAGATTGCATTTTAGGACACAGGAGTTTGTATTCTTTCATCTCTTTATTCTACTTATTCACTACTTTGCTCAGCATTATTCCATTGTTCTAGGCCAGTGATGTGAGTGAGCACAGTAAACCAAGGACAAAAAGTGATCATCATAGGAACAGTTAGTTACAATAGTAACTATATTTCTTCAGCCTTCACCAGATAAGCCAGGCACTCTTCTAAACACTTTATGTGTATTAACTTATGTCGTCCTCACAGTGACCCAGTGACACGGGCACAATTATTATCCCAATATTGTATCCTAATATGAGAAGTTGAGACACTGAATTTAAATAACTTGTCCAAGTTACACTGCTAGTGAAACTGCTAGTCCATTGATGAATTTCTACTCATCCTTCAAATTGCAGCTCATTCAATACCTCTTAGGAAGATCTTTAATTACCCCCAAACAGCTTGAGATACACCTTTCTCTATATTTCTATACATGTGCTACTTTGTGCTTCTTTATTATTAGCAGTTACCATATTGCATTATCATTCTTGCTTTATTGCATTGCTCTCTGTAGACTGTGATTATCTCCAGGGCAGCGACTCTTATTGTATAGAAGTTATATTATAGACCTTTATATCCAGAGTAAGTGGATTACCGTGTAGCAGATGCCCAGTAAATGTACAGATGATGAATGAAAACATGAATGAACAAATAAATAGGACCAACCCATGATCTGCCTTTCAACTATTTTAAATCACCTATTCTAATCATAGATGTATCAGGGTTTGATTTTTAAAAACAGAATCAAAATGAGTAATACAGAATGAGAGAATGAGAGATTTACTATTATGAGAATTAGACCTTAAAAAACTGTGAAAACTTATTAAGCAGTCTATGTAAAGCTATTTCTTCTATATTTGAGGTTAGAGCTGAAGTCAACAGTGGAATAAATCAGAAAGAAAAGATGGACACGAAACAGAGGAAGCAAGGACAAACTGGAACCCATGAGAATGAATCTGGACATACTTTTGTTTCCAACCTCAATGATGCAGGTCATACTGGTGCCTTTTACCAGGGAGTTGTATGTATACCTTGGCCAAGATTCAGAGAAGTTGACGAAGGAAATCCTGCACAAGCTGAAGGAGAGGTAGGCTTGGCAGCGGCACTATGCCAAGATCATGAGTGACGACAGTGCCTAATGATATGACTCTTAACTTCCAAAACTGGGACATATTTCTGTCTTGGCCAACCCCAACCAGGGCTCACTGAACAGGGAAGGGAATTCCAGAAAATGTAGTTCTAGCTTAGCCAGGTCGACACTGCACAAAGCCACCACAAGAAATATACTATCAGTAGCCCACCTGAAGTGAGACCTGAGACTCATTTTGAAATTTAAGTTTTCATCTGTTAGTGCCCATCCAAATGAGGAAGAAGAAAATGGAAAAAAGGATCCATAGAATGAAGTCACCAAGATGGGTGTAGTAGATTGTATTATTGGCTCCAATTTCTCATCCCTCTCTGCTTTCACAGCTTTAATGGCCTCATTGTGGGCAGGTTGTATTTTCGTGAGCCTTGACTTTGGGCTTGGCCATGACATTTACATCAGCCAATAACACAGTGAATGGTTTCGAGCCTAGTCCTTAAGAGGATGCACATGTTTCACCCACCTTCTGGCTCTTTTGCCATCTCTGGGAGAACATGCCCAGGATAGCCTGCTGGTCCTAGGAGAAGTATCAGAAGCACGTGGAGCAGAGCCACACCAGCCCTGTTGCAGATCCATGAGCAATGACAATTCATGGTTGTTTTAAGCTCTGTGCTTTGGAGTTGTTTGTTACACAACAATAATTAATATAACTCAAAGCAGACAGAGGAAGGGACTAGTTGGAGGCCTCGCTCTGAACAGCCAAAGCTTAGCATTTGCAGAAGTATCAGTAACAACAGTTCTGTGTCTAAGCCTTTGCAATTGGTTTTTGTGCGATGAGCCATGTGGAGTAGGAAGTGCAGTTCTTGGGGGAATGAAAGTATCTCTGTCGTGGGCCATCTCTAGACACTGGTGACTGCACAGCTGCTGCATAAGCAGCTTCTTCTGATGGCTCCCCATCACCTCCAGGATAAATGTCAAATGCCTCAAAGAACGTGTAAGATTCTTTTATGACCTGGCCTCCTCTTATCTTCAGAGACCTCTCTGTAGCCCCCCCTATTGTTAATCCTCTTTCACACCATAGAGTTCTCCTTGCCTGGAATGTTCTCGCTGTTCTACCTAGCAAGCTACTGCTTGTTCTTCAGAAGCTACCACAGATGTGCCATTTTATCTGCAGATTGCCCACTCTTTAACTACTTCAAGCCCCCTAACCCACCCTTGGGCAGAGTTATGGCTCCTCCAAGTACTGTCTTGGCTGTGTTGCTGCCTCCTCTATTAAATTATGACCTCTTGTAGGCAGGAACTATACCTCCTTCACTGCTACATCCTGTAGCATTTAACCAAGGAGCCTGGCCCTCCCCTGGAAAGGTAAGCAGTAGATCATAGCTATTGAGATTCAGCTGCTAAGATACTTTTCTAGAGGACAAAAGATTTTCTCTACTGAGGCAGATACTGTTATCAGAAAAGGTGACCTACTAGGGTTTTGTTGATAGTCACTGGATGCCAAGGCAGAGATATGGAGTTCTCACTTCTTTTTAGAAAGGAGGTCAGCTGAGAATAAGAGAAGATTCTGAAACTTAAAATATACCTAAAAATCTCAAACATATAAGATGACTAAATTCCTATCTAATGAAAAAATAGCTTAACAGCACCCTATGTTAAATGGGCCACTTAAATAGATGCTGACAAGAAATGTGCTTATCAAGGCTTTCACTTGGTTTCAGATCCTTCTCTTTCAAATATCTATTTTATTCTTTTTCCAGAATTCTGACTCATTTCCCAAACACTGCTCCTTAAGCTTTCAACCCTTAAAAAAGCTGAAGCAATGTTTTTTTCCTTCCTAAATTGACATTAGAGTAGTCAAAGCAACGTTTTGGCAAGAAAGCATTGGGGCCATCTCTTCTTTCAGTTTCGGATTTGGCAGAAGGAAGTGCTGTCTCTCCTTGAGCTTCAGGCTCTTGCCCTTATCTAGGCTTAATCATCTCCCACTTCAAGGGGCAGCCTTACACCATATCCAGAAGTGTCAATTCTCTGAGCTCTCTGAAAGTCACACATCCACTTGGTGTTTGAATAGGCACTACCAACAGAGGGCGCCAGACGGAGACTGTGCGGCTGCAAGAGAGATGAGTAACTTGCTCCTTTGTTTCCTTCCAGCTTGTGACAGTCTCCTTCACCTTGCTATCTTCCCCTCCGCAGCAGCGGTTTCTTCCTGTGGCAACAGCTGAAACTAGTTTTTTCACTATTTGCAAAAAGCAGCTGATTGCTCTCTTCCAGCCCCATAGAGCCCAGCTGCAACCAAGCAACAAGGCCCCTGAAGGATCTGAGTTTCAATTCACAGGATTCCTCCTCGGAGTTTCTACGTTTAAAAAAACTTAAGATCTTCCCTTTGTTCCTCCAACCCTGGAGGAGGTTGCCACTTCTGCTGTTCTGACACCTTGAAACCTTTGTCTTTTTTTTTTACCCTCACTTAACTAGATAACTATTTCATACCCAGATAATAATTCTTTTATTTTTATTCTTTAAGTTCTGGGGTACATGTGCAGAACGTGCAGGTTTGCTACATAGGTATACACATGCCATGGTGTTTTGCTGCACCCATCAACCCGTCACCTACATTAGGTATTTCTCCTAATGCTATTCCTCCCCTAGCTCCCCACCCCTTGACAGGCCCCGGTGTATGATATTCCCCTCCCTGTGTCCGTGTGTTATCATTGTTCAACTCCCACTTATAAGTGAGAACGTGCAGTGTTTGGTTTTCTGTTCCTGTGTTAGTTTGCTGAGAATGATGGTTTCCAGCTTTATCCATGTCCCTGCAAAGGACATGAACTCATCCTTTTTTAGGGCTGCATAGTATTCCATGGTGTATGTTCCAAATCGTGAGTGAACTCCCATTCACAATTGCTACAAAGAGAATAAAATACCTAGGAATACAATTTACAAGGGATCTGAAGGACCTCTTCGAGGGGAACTACAAACCAGTACCCAGGAAATAAGAGAGGACACAAACAAATGGAAAAACATTCCATGCTCATGGATAGGAAGAATCAATATCGTGAAAATGGCCATACTGCCCAAAGTAATTTACAGATTCAATGTTACCCCCTTCAAGCTACCATTGACTTTTTTCACAGAATTAGATATAATTCTTGATGTTAAATTCTCTCTGTTAAAATAACTGGTGTGCTTTTTGTCTCCTTATTATACGCTGACTGACACAGGTTGAAGTCTGAAAATATTTCAGCTGCCTGTTGTCTCCACTATAGGGCTTCATAGGGTACCAATGTCCTTGTTAGGATGCTCTGACTGGCAGGACCCCTGGGCTTTCCTGCAGAGCCCTGCATCACTCCTCTTGTAGTGTTTTCATACTCCTCACCCAGTGTCTTAGCTCAAACTGCTACAGAAATATATCATGGCCTGGATGATTTAAACAACAGAAATGTATTTCTCACACTTCTGGAGGCTGGTACTACAAGATTTGGTTTCTTGAGAGGTGAGAGCTCACTTCCTCAAGACTTCCTTACTGTATCCTCACATGGTAGAGAGAAAAAGAGCCAGCAAACTCTCTTTTATCTCTTCTTATAAGAACACTGATTCCATCATGGAGTTTCCACCCTTATGACCCCATCTAAACCTAATTATCTCCCAAAGGCCCCATTTCCAAACAGCATCGCACTGAGAGTTGGGGCTTCAACATAGGGGGTGGTGCATAATTCAGCCCATAGCACTCAGTCACCACTCAGCCCCGATTCTGCCTCTGGAAGTTCCATGCTCAAGTACCCAACACCTGCCCTTGTATCATAGTTCACAGCCTAGGCTTCTGCTCTGGTCTTCCTCAAGATTTTCCAAACCCCTAAGCCTATGTTAACTATATTAACAACTGGTTCTCGTAGGGGGAAAAGTTCTGTTTTGAAGCTTTTCCAAATTTCTGTGGTGTGTTAATACTCCTACCTTGGTCAATTTCACTGAAGACAGAATTGGGTAGAGATGCGCAGTAGCAGTATAATATATTTATATATTGTAAGATATATTCATTACATACGTTATATATTAGTTATATATATTATATATTAGTTATATATAATATATATTAGTTTTGCCTTATAGTTAAAATAGACGTACGGAATCTCAAGAGCACAGATAATGGAAAAATATAGTAAAATAACTAAAAATGGTGAGTTTTGAGTATTTTTCTCTATTTTTACTAATTTATTTAATTGCATGTTTATTTACTTTGAGTTTTAATGGTTTTGTTTAACAACCAGATCACAGAATTTATAAAAAATAACAACTGGCTCTTACCAGCCAATAAAAGCAAGTTCACCTAGACCACTGGTCAGAGCTGCACCCACAAAGTGTCCCCATTCCCTTGTGTATCTGTGGAACTCTGGGTCTACACAGAGCAAACACAATGTGAAAAACACATCCCTGGGGTCCAGTGAATCCAGGTTATTATTCTACTTCATCCCGTCACCACAGCCACACATCTCAGAAGTCAGTCAGTGATCTCAGGGAGCAGCCGTAAGGTATCCAATTGCAGATGCTCCAGAACTCCAGGAATACCAGCCTCTTGCTATTAGAAGGTGATACAGGGCATCCCTTCTTGCTTTGCCCAGAAGTACCTGCGTTTTCCTTTTGTGAAAAGTCATCAGCTGACTTGAGCAAGAAAATAGAGCAGAAGACAAATTAAAGAGAGGTAGGAGCAGGGGACGATTTAAAGTGGTGGAATTTTCTACTCTTGGCAGAGCAGAAGCCCAGGCTGGGAACTATAGTGTAAGGGTGGGTCCTGGGGACTTGAGCATGGAACTTCCACAGGCAGAATGGGGGCTGGAGGGGTGACTGGGTGCTTTGGGCTGAACTGTGCCCATCTGCCCCAAATTCATATGGAATTTGAACCCCTCAGTGCAATGGAACTTGGAAATTGGGCCTTTGGGAGGTAAGTAGGTTTAGATGACATCAAGGGTAGAAGCTCCATGATGGGTCCTAGACATTGGTCAACCTTGAAGAAGACCTACCAACTTTTTTACTGCAGAACTGTACATTTCCCACAAATCTTGCAAAGATCAACTTATCTTTTCAGCAAAGCGTGGTCTCCCAAACTCCCCTGAGGTCTTGACCCTCTCAGGGACTCAAAACCAGGAATCGGAGTTCAGGTTCAAGTGCATTTCTCTCCTCAGGACCCACTAATATCTCTATCGCCCTCACTTACCATTCCTCGTTCCAATCCTTTCCACTTAATAGTTCAGAGGCACCTGCATTTCCCTTAAGGCTGGGAATTTTGGAAATGAAAGCAAAGCAAACTTTCTGCCTGCCTTCCCCGAATCAATAGACAGACCTTACCTGTTGAAGAGCAAAGGAGGGAAACTCAAAGAACAAAGGCAGTTAATATTTGTGATGGTTTCTATAAATCTCAAATATTATAAATATTAACTCTTATGATTGTAATGTGAAATCTTGTTGAAATTATTGGTGCACTTATAATGAAAGCCTTTGCATTGGGCTCCCCACTACATCAAATGTCTTACCTGAAATATTTACATATACTTGTTCTATCTCAGGGATCTCTAAGGTCAAAATCAAAGTGGCTTGATTAAAATCATCAGAGGCGTTTGAACCAGAGTGACTCCATCTTAAACGGGGCCTGGGTAAAATGAGGCTGAGACCTGCTGGGCTGCATTCTTAGGAGGTTAGACATTCTTAGTCACAGGATGGGATAGGAGGTCAGCACAAGATACAGGTCACAAACACCCCGCTGATAAAACAGGATGCAGTAAAGAAGCCAGTCAAAACCCACAAAAACCAAGATGATGATGAAAGTGACCTCTGTTGGTCCTCACTGTTCATTATATGCTAATTACAATGCATCAGCATGCTAAAAGACACTCCCACCAGGGCCATTACAGCTTACAAATGCCATGGCACTGTCTGGAAGTGACCCTATATGGTCTAAAAAAGGGAGGAACCTTCAGTTCTGGAAACTCCTCACCCCTTTCTCTGAAAACTTATGAATAATCTACTCCTTGTTTAGCATATAATCAAGAAATAATCATAAGTGTACTCAGTCAAGCAGTCTTTGCCACTCCTCTGCCTATGGAGTAGCCATTCTTTTACCTCTTCTCTAATAAACTTGCTTTCACTATATTCTGTGGACTTGATCTGAATTCTTTCTTGCATAAGATCCAAGAACCTTCTCCTGGGGTCTAGATTGGGACCGCTTTTCAGTAACAAAATCACAAAATGGAAAAATGTTGGCCAGACTTAATACTTGAATAATAAGGTGTCAAGTTATAACCTTGAATTAATTCCAGAAACAAATTAGTTCCCGACAGTCATTTAAAATGTCAAATTTGTCTTGCTAATTTGCAGACAAATTAGCAAGTCAGTTCAGGTCTGTTAACAGTTAACATTTTTAAATATTTGCCACATGCTTAGCACTGGACTAAGTGCCAGTTACCCAGAGAAGCAGTCACTATTTTACACCCATTTTACAGATGAGTATATGAAGGCACCTAATTTAACTTGCTGAGGGTCACAGTTAGTAACGGCAGAGATGGGAATTGAACCCATCCAGTCTGGGTTTACAGCCTCTTCACTTAACCGTTGTGCAACACTGACTCCTTTAGTCTACGCCACTTAACCCTGACTGCCAAGAATTTTCTAGAGTCTGAAAGCTTCAATAAAAAAAGCTTGAGACTCTCCCTGCCTCTACTCTCTTTTCCCCTCTCCATACCTGTTTTTACTCCTGAGTTCACACAGCCTATTTGATTTTGAAGGTTCAGTCTTCAACTCAGAAAACAATGAAAGTGCTGCCATCTACTTAATGACCCCTTCAAATCTCTTGTGACCCACGATCTCACACATGAAAGAGTCTATGCCGGATGCTTGAGTTTTCCCAAAATAATACCAAGGGCTAATGTCCATGGGGTGCCTCCCATGTCCTCGGATGTGTCATATTTTCAACATATGGTAGTCAGTAGCATCATTTACCACATTACCAACTTTCACTCTCACAACTACACTGAGATATAGGTGTCATTATCGTCACATTTACCCACGAGGAAACTGAGGCTCAGTAAAGCTTAATTGCCCTGTAAATGTCTCACAGCTAGTAAATGATGCAGCTGAGATTTGAACTCTTGATGATGCCAGGCTCTGCCATAGCCAGCTCCTCACTGTAGTGCTCGGCCTCTTGGAGTAATGATGGAGAGAGTCCCCAGGCACACATTGCGTGAATTACACTTAACTACTGGAGAGCCTTATTATGCGTTTTCATCTTCTTAGTGCTTTCTAATTAAAAAGGAGGGGAGTGGTGATCTTTTTGCTCTCTAAGTTCTGTTTCCTCTGAGTGGAAAGCAGAGGGCCCCCTGTGACAGACTTTGCGGAATAGACCTCATTGTATCGAATCAGCTGTTTAAGTGCAGAGTTTTCCTCTGTCCCTTTTTACTGGAGAAAGTTAATTAACATCATAGCCACTAACCACTTACCTATGCTTAGTCTTGATTATGAAGAATATGGGAATGTAGTTAGTCGCCTGAAAGTCTAAAAGTGTGCTCCTATTGTAAAAGGCTTTAATTAATAGGAGTAATAACAATATTAATAATATAATACTCCTTAACATCAACTGGGTGCTTGCAAAGAGCCAGGTACTCTGCTAAGTGTTTTTTTTTATTTAATCCTCCCAAGAACTTTAATTTGAAGCAGACACTATTATTTTTCTCTTTATATGGACCATAAAGAGTCCAAAGTGAAGGTTACTGTGAAAATGAGAGATCTGAGACAAAAACCCAGGGTGCACAACTTGAGGGCCGGCAATGAGCCTCGATGTTGCCATAGCATCCGTGTCTGAGGCAATAGGGATAATAAATCATTTCCTTTTCTATTGTGCCAAAATACTCCTTTACTCATGCAGAACTCAAAGTCACGAACTCTAAGAAATTGAAAAAAGACACGGCCATAAACTGAAGTTACTGACCATTTGACTGTAACTAAGGAGACCTTTTCCAGACCCTTGAGTTTGGGTAAATGGTAGCTAAGCCCAAAGCAAGTCACATTCATCTTCCCAGCAGGTGCCCCTCTGACTGAGACTTAGGCAAGGCAAGGGTTGGTGGCCTTGAGCGGCCGAGTGCAAAGCTGGCTGAGTGGTACAAATGATCAGCTCTTCCAGATAAGGCTGGTCCTGCACGGTACAGATCCTCCAGGACCGATGCTCAGGTGGGGTGGGAGGTGGAAATTAGACAAGCAATTGGAATCAGGAGGCTCCTGCTGAACGCTGATATTTACGGGCACACTCAGGCCCCTGGCTGTCTCCTCTACCTTTCCCCAAACCCCTTCTTTTTGTCCTTGTATTCATGATTTCACAAACTGTTTTCTTTCCCCAGAATATTTGTGCATGACCATTAAATACCCTTCTCCAACTCCTGAGACCCTTTTAGCCTCAGCTTTAAAACTCATTTTTTTTCATGGAAACCTTTCCTGACCCCCAGATGAGGTTAGAATCCAGTGTTCCTGTACCAAGGAATTCTCCTTTATTTCACAGTGCATAGGGCAACTGTGAATATTTATTTGTGGATTTTTGATTGAATGTCTGCTGTCAGTGCTTGATTGTAAATCCTATGTCTTATTCTATCTCTAGCCTGGCACGGTGCTGGGCACCTGATGGGCCCTCATAAATATTGATGGTATTTGTGTCCCAGGGCTGTGCTAACAAAGTACCCAAAATGGGGTGGCTTAACACAGCTGAAACTTATTGTCTCATGTTCTGGGGGCTGGAAGTCTGAGATCAAGGTGTTGGCAGGGCCATGCTCCCTCTGATAGGTCTAGAAGAGAATCCTCTCTTGCCTCTTCTACCACTGGCCTTTGCTGGCAATCCGTGGTGTTTCTTGGCTTGCGCATCACTCCAGCCACATGGCTAGCTCCTCCCTGTGTGTCTTTACACCATCTTCTCTCTGTTCATGTCTGTCTCTGTGTCTAAATTTCCCCCTTATATAAGATGTTTTAGTCACATTTGCATTACTATAAAGAGTACCCGAGGCTGGGTAATTTATAAAGAAAAAAAGGCTTATTTGGCTCATGGTTCTGCAGGCTGTATAAGCATGGCAGCAGCATGTTCTTCTGGTGAGGGTCTCAGGAAGCTTTTGGTCATGTCAGAGGTGATGGGGAAGCAGGGATGTCACATGGCAAGAGAAGGAGCAAGAAGGAGAGGAGGAGGTGCCACGCTCCTTTAAACAACCAATTCTCATGTGAAATAACTAAGTGAGAACTCAGTCATTACATACAGGATAGCCCGAAGCCATTCATGAGGAATCTGCCCCCATGACCTAAACACCACTCACTAAGCCCACCTACAACATCGGAGGTCACATTTCAACATAAGATTTGGAAGAAACAAATATCTAAGCCATATCATAAAGACAACAGTCATATCAGATTAAGGTTCACCCTAATGGCTTCATTTTAACTTGATTGCCTCTGTAAAGAATTTGTTTCCAAATAAGGTCATATTCACAGGTACTGGATGTTAGGACTTCACATATCTTTTGGGGAGGGGACATAAAATAACCCGTTACAAATTATTAAACTAATAAACATGTTTGGACATACCTCTTAACCTTTCTCTGCTATAGTTTTTCTCATTTGCAACATGATCATAATACCTGTTTCAATCCCACATAGATTTCTGAGATGGAAGAAGTTAATGGCAATAGCATATAACATTCTTCTGCCCACCAGTAAATTTGATTTGACTGACCAACATGTTTTTGAATATTTTAAGTATAGTTAGACCAAATTATAGGTGATATCAGAATAAGTTCCAAACAGCTGGAGAGCAGAAGTTATATAATACACAGAGTCGAGAATGTCTACACCCAAATCAGGCATGTGGCATGACAAGTGCAGTTACTGTTGGGGTAATGAAAGTGACTGTAAGAGAGGTACTGGAGTTAATAGCAGAGACTGTTGGTTCAGAAAGACCTGGGTTAGAATCCTGGATCTGTGGCTCATTTTAGCTATGGAAATTTAGTCCCTCTGAGTCTTAGTTTTCTCATCTGTAAAATGGGTTAATAAGCCTTTAATAATCCCTGCCTAAGGTGATAGAAGAGATTGAATGACGTGTTTTTATACATGTTTAGCAGTGTCTAGTACATAATAACCATTCACTAAATGGTAGAATATGTCAGAACCACATATGATATATATTTGGACTGTGCTAAAATTCTAGCCATGAAATTGCCATAGTTATGTGGCAAATTGGAAAGAATAAAGGGATGATCTACGGTGGCGCCTACCTGTAACAGATCTCTCAGGCCCTCAGCAGCCTCTTGGTGCAACCAGGGGAGAATCATGAGAAACCTTCCTTTCTTCTGTGTTTCTTTCTTCTGCTAGCAGCAGACACCCAAGAAAGGCTTAGAAACTAATGACAATAAATTGTGTCAGTGGTGGATGTCCTTGATATGGTTTGGCTCTGTGTCCGCATCCAAATCTCATGTTGAATTGTGATCTCCAGTGTTAGAGGTAGAGCCTGGTGGGAGGTGATTGGATCACAGAGGTGGTTTCAAATGGTTTAGCGCCATTCCCCTAGTGCTGTCTCGTGATAGAGTTCTCACAAGATCTGGTTGTTTGAAAGTGTGTAACACTTCTCCCTTTGCTCTCTGTCTCTCCTGCTGGCCATGTAAATATGTGCCTACTTCCCCTTTGCCTTCTGTCATGATTGTAAATTTCCTGATGCCTCCCCAGAAGCAGAAGCCTGTACAGCCTGCAGAACTGTAAGCACAATTAAACTTCTTTTCCTTATAAATTACCCAGTCTCAGATAGTTCTTTACAGCAGTGCAAGAACAGAGTAATACAATCCTGAACCTCTTGGAACAGATGTGAATGGATTATCACATCTGATGAAATGGGGCTTCTTTTTACAAGAAAGAAGGGACAAGAAGATGAAAGCAACTCTGCTGAGTGTTCCTAGCGGAATATCAGATTGTTCTTTGCCATCAGGGAGAGTGAACTGAACCATTGCTTGAGATCAGGAATGTTAAGACATATACTTCAGTGACAAAAGGCATTATGAGCACAGAGCTCCAGCTGCCTGGGGAGCAGAACTACAGCCAGTATGGCTGAGTGTGTCAGTGCCAAAGTGCTGGCAGTTTGTTAGACTCCTCAAGGTGTAGGGCTTTCATTGTGAAAACTAAGTTGGTGTGGCGTTTTGAAGTCCAACAGACCTTGATTCAAATCTTGCCAGGCTACATCCTAACAATGGGTAAATTACTTAATGTCTGAGTCTCAGTTACTTCAACTGAGAAGTGAGGCTGATTCCTATGTCCTAAGGCAGTTGAGAGAATTTGATGAGATGGGATATGCAAAGTGCCTAGCAGAGTGCCTAGACTGAGGTAAACAGCTGATAATAGAATCAGTGCCACTGCATGTTGGAGGTAGAATTGAGTACAAGGAGAGACCCATACCCTAGAAACCAGACCCCAATTAAAATAGCCAGGGCTCAAATCCTGACTCAATTACTTACTTACTATAGGGCCATTTATCCCACTTGGTAGAAATATTGACAGTGATATAAATATTTATTTATATTTATCCCATTTGGTATAAATATTTACATTGATTATGAAGTGCTGCCCCAGACCTCACTAGAAGCATTACATTATATGTGGTATATGAATCACAGTACCTTCTAAAATTTCAGAACTTCTCAATTCTGAAATCCATCTGGCCTCAAGGGTCCTAGATAAGGAACTGTAGACCTACATGTAGAACTCACTCCATGGGGCTGGGTGGACTGATGGAGTGATCTATGTAGAATAGAGCCCTGCAGCACATAGAAGGGCTCAGAGAGTGCAGGCAAGGACAACAGGAGAATCTGACTTCTGTTTTCCATACTTGCTGCATGACCTGGGGTGAGCTACATAACCTTTCTCTTTCCCCTTTGGAAATGAGCATGATGATCATGATACCTCACTTGTTATGAAACAAAATCAGCTGATATATATAAAGCACTTGGTAAAGTATCTGGTACCTATTAGTAAGGGCAAATTCTTATAATTATTGCATTTTATGTGTACATGAAAATTTCTCTTTTATAACAGGCATGGCATCACAGCAAAACTCAGGAAACAAGGCAGACCAACTTGTATTGGTATTCCAAGAATTTTACAGGGAATAGAAAGGTTACACGGTATATTAATCCAAACTGACCTTTTGTGCTTTCTTTAATCCGATTAAAGCACTTTTCATTAAAATAGTTTTATTTTTACATAATGCTACTGACGGATTTTTTTCCTCCTAAAAGTTCTGATAAGACAAAAGCAAGAGGAAAATGGTTATCTCTTGCTTGTAACTACACAAGTTATTTCAGATAGATAGATGAGGAATGGATGATTGAAGGAACACCCAATGAGGATGCTGTGCCACATATTGTTGAAATCAACAACCATTTATTTCTGTTTCCACCCGCTCTGTCCCTCGTGGGGTGGCTATGGAGCTATGTCACTCCAAGAGGAACTGCTGCAGGGAAACTGGTTGGTGGACAATTCCAGCTGTCCCTTGTATTTGCATCTGCCACATTTGCCCTAAGACTACACTTTCCCACACCATTGACAGCTGGTGAAATAAGCACGGTAGGGTAGGGGTCCTAGTGCCAGCCTATTCCTGCCCAATGTGGAAATCCTCTAATGGGAAATTTTTGCATGAGGACTCCCCATCAGCCTGGTCAAGATGTTCTAGAACTGTGCTGCAGCCTGAGGCTTGCCCCACACAATCCTTCCTTCCCTCTCTCCTTGTACAAGTGTCTGATCTGCATTGTGGTCTGAAGGCTCTCCCTGCCTGGTTGTGCTTTCTCCCATTCTTTTTTTTTAATTAATATTATACTTCAAGTTTTAGGGTACATGTGCACAACGTGCAGGTTTGTTACATATGTATACATGTGCCATGTTGGTGTGCTGCACCCATTAACTCATCATTTACATTAGGTATATCTCCTAATGCTATCCCTCCCCCCTCCCCCCACCCCACAACAGTCCCCAGTGTGTGATGTTCCCCTTCCTGTGTCCATGTGTTCTCATTGTTCAGTTCCCACCTATGAGTGAGAACATGCGGTGTTTGGTTTTTTGTCCTTGCCATGGTTATCTCCCATTTCATCATGCAGAGACGATTCTCCTAGTAAATATCTTGCACATCTAATCCCATCTTGGTGCTTGCTCCTTGAGGACCCTAATCGACACACCCTGTGTTTATCTCCTAGTTTTCCTTGCCTTGAGGGTTCTGGGTGTTATGTAAGTTTTGCCTCTGAGATGTTCTTGCAAGAGATTTGGAAAGGGAAAGAAAGGGAGACATCAGTCTCTCCATCGCAGTGGAAGCTGATGACTGGGCTCCAACAGATACGGGTTTTTGGAACAGCAGATTCCCCATTCCACTGTCCAATTACCAGCCTCAGGGACTTGGGCTGCTGTGGCATTGGCAGCATTTTTATGTTGCTTCCTGAACTTTGGACTGTAGCAGCAGGGACCTCAGATCAGAGCTGCTGTAGCAGGGTTTTGAAGCCCAGGAGCCACTCCTTAGCTGCTGTTTTTCCAGCCTTTTTAATAATTTCATGAGCACTCATCGCCCTGAGTGGAATTTCCTTCTGCTTAATTCACTGGGGTGATTTCTGTTTCTTGCACTGAATGCTGACTGATACAGAATTCAGTTCAGGCAAGCATCACATCCCCCAAGTTCTTATCATTGGACTGGGCTGTACAATCTACACCACTACCAGGGAAACCTTATTACCCAGTCCCCACTCTAGATGTGGCTCCAGAGATTAATGGACAATCAGGAAGTTTTCAGGGGCAGGGGCAGGGGCAGGGGACATGGAGAAGAATGGGTGGAATTTCTCTAAAAGAACAGAGCCAAAGTCTAACCAAGGAACTCACTTCCCTGCTGGGGTAGTGAGTCTTCACAAGGTCTGCCCTGCAAGATTTCCTTGGTTCTGGACCAGTGACTGCTATGTGCTCCCCAATCTACTCCTCTCTTTTTGAGTTTTTGCAGTTGCCCTGTTCCTGCTTTACTATTGTATATTGAGTGTGTGTTGAAGGGAGAAGGAAGTGTAGAGATAAATTGTCTTTTTGTATACATAGATTACTGAACCATGAAGAGACAAAGTTAGGCCTGAGAATCTTCACTTTGAGCTTAGTTCGGAAATGGGGCAGTGCTTTGGATGGTCTCCCTTGAGGAAGAGTGGTTGTGCTCTATGTGTGGGAAGAAGAATACACATGACTGATTGGTGGCCGGGGGTGAACTGTGTTGGAGACTGATCGTTAGGCATAAAAATCCATTCTCCTCTTCTTGTTTGTCTTAATCAGTGTCTGATCAGGAAAACACAAACTGTGTCAGGTGTTTCAAAGAGAGGGAATTAACACAGGGAAGTGGCTCCAAAGTGTATGGAAGCATTGAAAAGGCAAACAGGAGAAAATGAGGTAATCAAGAAATTAGCAATATCAGAAAACAGCCCTTCCCCTTGTGGTTAAAGGGACAAAGTAGGAGGTGATGTTACTGTAGCCCAGGAAGCCAGAACCACAATGGGCATGTCTCAGGAGAGCCGGGATCATGGAGGGTAGGACTATCGGGCAGGAGGCAGAACTGTGGAGGAAATGCAGCTAAAGCAGAGAGGTAGAAAACTACACTGCCTTTCCTTCTGCTCCTGCCCTCCAGTCCCCCACCAATGTCTCCTATTGGCCTACCCTACCCCAAACTAGGGAGCAAAGAAGGCTTGAGTATGAGGTTTCCTGTGATACACACGAGGACACAAGCCAGGCAGTCTGGGCATAAGGCTAGGCTGCATTTCCCAGTGTCCCTTGCAGTTAGCTGCATCATGCGATTAAGTTATCTTCTTTGGGATGTGAGCGGAGGTGATGCATAACCCTTCAGAGCCTGGGCCTTGCATCAGAGGGTATGCCCCTCCACATGGTCTTTCTCCTACTCACTGGCTGCCACAGGAGAGATTCAACATTCTCCAGGCAGACAGTAACAATGCCCTAGGAAAAGAGGGGCAACACATGCAAGAAGCTGTGTTCCCTGAGTGATTATGTGGAGCAGAGCTGACCCACTGATGTGGATAGCTCATCTGGAAACAGGTACAAAAAAGAGAAATAGACTATGTTCTTTAAGCCACTGTATTTTTGAGTTTCTTGGCTACCACAGCTTAGGTCTTTATCCCAATAGACATGTTTTCAGTTTTTATTCCATTTATTCAAGGATTAATTTTCAGCTACTAGACCTAGGCACCTAGGCACTTAGGTACTATGGATAAAAACATAAACAAGACAAGTTCTTATTCTCAGGGAGATCTCTACCTACTAGAAGAGACTGACAAACATAAAATGTTATAGCATAGAGTGCTAAATATTATGAAAGCATAACACCCTGCAACTGAAGAGGTGACACAATTTAGGAATTATTCTTAAAAGTCAGAGTTGACAGACGGGAACTTGGAGGTTTACAACAATCACTACCAGTGAACAAAATTCTACTGTGCCAGACTGTGTATCAGGTCCTTAAAACCTGTTGTCTCACTTAACACTCACCTTTTGAGACAGGTGTTAAAACTCCCCATTTTACAGATGAAGAAACTGATAATCAGAGAGTTTAAGTAAATTATCTAGGGCCACAGAATTAATTGCTGAGATTTAAGCCCAAGTTGGCTCTTAAACTGATGTTCTTTCCACCATGGTAAGCCATCTCTCTATCCAGTGAGCTTTGATTTTGTGCTGCACTTAATAGTGTGCCCACTGGGTAGATGCCTGCTTGTCTGACCTGCGCTAAACATCTATTTAACTCATTGCTCAGGTCCACAAGGAGAAGACAGAAGAAAGTGGGGAGACAAGAGGCTGCTCTTGTTACTTGATTTCTTTGCTTTATTTCTGACCAGAATAAGGTGTTCACCACCAGCATGACTGTCCTCCTTGTTTCATACCAAATTTGTTCTAAATTATTTCAGACAATTTCCCAAAAATAGCTAGACTTAAAGGACAAAGATTTACCACCATGAAGGATATTCAAAAAAACGCTCTGGGTTCTGGCAATGTTCAACATTTCTGTCTCTGAAAGTTTTGGGGCAAAAGAAAGAGCATGGGAACCGCTTTCCACTGGGCCTGAGGACCCCATTTTTAACCATCTGAAAAAGAGACATGTGAACTGGCACTGACTTTAGGGACATCTTTCAATGATCAAGAATATCAATGACAATGCCAACACTAATATATCCAAATACTGGATTAATAATTGAACAAAATTGTAGCACCCCATGTGACTCTCCCCTTCTAAATTTAAAAATGATAAAATGAGACTGACTGATCTCAAGAGGGATTTTATTTATGTATCTCCTTGACATTCTAAGAGAGAGTGAGAACTGTAGTTAACTATTGGAAAGGAGGAACATAAGCCTTTTCAAGGTCCAAAGGCCCTTGCTCAGTTTTGAATGATGCTCAGTTGCCAGTCTCTGCCACTTTTGCAAATGATCATTTATTAAATAAGAAGGGACATTTTGAAGACAGCTGAGTCTTCAAAACATGAAAAAGTAATACAGTCTCAGAGCAAGAGGGTGATAAATTATGTCATGTGAACCCAGCCATGGTGTGCCCTGAATGCTTATGGAAAAGTCATTGTGTAACAGTAAATAACGGGTGGATCATAAGGTGTTTTCTTCCAGAGCATTCACAATGCTTGACGTGCTTGTTAGTTCACAAAGCGTTACAAAGTATGTGAATGGTACAGTAAGGCCAGTTTGGCAGGGGCAGGGACTAAGACTTGAAGTGATTATGTCCAAGATGACAGAGACAAACGCACTTGTGGGTGCAGAGCCTATATCTCCTGGGTCAAATACCAATTCTAAATATCAGCCCACCTATCCTTCTTGTTTAGAAAAAACTCAAACTACTTTTTCGTCTTCTCCTACACCACAACAGTCACCAACACAGAAGACATCCACGATCAAAATGTTGGGTGTAGGGGGATGTTTCTCCCCACCACCAAGTGAGCAATCAGTTTTGCAGTGGATACCAGTTGGGCATCCTCCAGTTCAATTCCAACACCATCTATGTGAAGCCAGTGCCAGATCCCACAGGTTGAAGGTTCAGTCCCCAGAACTTCCCCTGCTTCGAATAGCAGGCACAAGTCCAGGCCTCTGGAACTTCTGACCAACCAGCTTCAAGTTGGGGTTCCCAAAACCTCCTCTTTGGGTTCCATTAATTTACTAGAGCAGCTCACAAAACTCAAGGAAACACTTACATTTACTGGTTTATTGTAAAGGGTATTACAAAGGATATAGATGAAGAGATGGATAGGACAAGATATGGAAGAAGGGGCATGGGGCTTCCACACTCTCCCTGGGTACGCCAACCTCTTAAAACCTCCTTGTGTTCAGCTATCCAGAAGCTCTCCGAACCCAGTCCTCTTGGGTTGTTATGGAGGCTTTGTTACATAGGCATGATTGATTAAACCTCTGGCCATTGGCAATCAACTTAACCTTCAGCGCCCCCCCACCCCAGCCCCCACAGGTTGAGGGGTAGGGCTGAAAGTCTCAATCTTCTAATCATGCTTCTGTCTTCTCAGGGTTTCTGGCAACCAGCCCTATCCTGAAGCTTCTGTGAACGTTAGTATACAAAAAGCACTTTGGAGATTCTGAGGATTTTAGGAGTTGTATGCCAGGAAACTGGGAAGAAGATGACATATATATATTTTCATATCACACTTCTCTATCAGGCATTTTTGCTAAAATCCAATAGTGGTCAGGGTAACAAATTTAATCAAGATCTTATGCAAACTTGACTGTAGATTGAGCTTGCCAATATACATATAAAATAAACCAGCTCACAAAAAGATAAAAAATTTGATCTCCCACCCTCTTTTAGGGCAATCCACAAAAATCAAATAAGATCAAATCTGTACTTTCCCTACTGTCTGGGCTTAAATTATTAGTAAGAATGAATGGATGACTACATCTTGATTAGTTTCATTCTTCTTCATATCCTAAGCATAAGCTAAAAACTGAAGATATTTTAGTCAATGTAAAATCGTTTAATTTTTTTCTCAGATCTTGAAAGAGGCTCCCAAGTCTAGTTGAGGGTTTGGGGAAAAAAGATAACTTTGTCCAGCTTCTTTGAAAAATGAGACTACATTGAAGATATGGCTCACCAGAGACCTGGAGAAGTCCATTTTGTCACCTCCTTGTGTCACTGGCTCATTGCACAAGTGGTCTTTCAAGGCAATTCCAAGCACCATTTTGCAATGTCTCACCCTTAGGGGTTGTCCTAGTTAGCATGTCTGGGGATATCTATTATCTTGGACAATACACATTTCCCCAAATACATGCACTCCCAAAATTAAATAAAAGGAGCATAACAAACAATAGATTAAGAAGTATTAAATCAAATAAAGGATATAGGGGAAAACAACAAGCCTGTGTGTTTTTACTACTCTCACACTCCAACCAATCAATTCTCCAGCAAATGTGAGCGGGACTTTCCCCACACACCGAGCAAGCAATTCTGCAGTGAACACCAGCTGAGTATCCTCTAATTCAATTCAATTCTCACACCATCTACCTGAAGATATCATCGGACCCCACAGATTGAGGACTCAGTCCCAGAAAACTGCCTCCCCACTTCAGACGCCAATCACAAGCGTAGGTTGTGACCTGTGCTTCTGACCCACTGGCTATAAATCAGGGCTCCTGTGACCCTCATTTGTGTTCGATTAATTTGCTAGAGAAGCTCACAGAATTCAGGAAAATACTTTACGTTTACCCATTTATTTTAAAGGATATCAAAAAGGATACAGATGAACAGCCAGATGGAAGAGATGCTTGAAGCAATGTATGTGGGAAGATGCATGGAGCTTCTGTTCCTTCCTCAGCAAGTCTCCCCCTAGGAACTTCCACACGTGAACATACAGAAGCTCTCTGAACCCAGTCTTTTGTGGTTTTATGGAAGTTTCATTATATAAACATAATTGATTACATCATTGGCCATCGGTGATCAACTCAGTCTTCATCTCTTCTCTCCTCCCTAGAGGTTGGGGATTGGGGCTGAAAGTCCCAATCTTCCACTCATGCCTTGGTCTTTCTGATGAGCAGCCTCATCATGAACTACCTACTCTGGCCACCAGTCATCTCATTAGCATGCAAAAGATGTTGTTATTACTCCAGAGATTTCCAGAGTTTTAGGAGCTATATGTCAGAAAATGGGTCAAAGACCAAATATATATTTTACAATGTCACAATTACCCTATTATATATCATTAAGCCAAGAATCTCAAAATGTTCTAGTTTTCCATGAATGCATACTTTATGTACATATCTCCATTTCCTACACTACCAGAAGAGGCAGGGAAGAGGGCAGGGGGCCTGGAGCTCGGAGGGCAGCAGGTCTCTTCTCCTTTAATCAGCCATCCCTCACTACCTCCCTACCACTGGGTTATCCTCCAAGTGCCCCTCTCTCCAAAGGAAGAGTTCTTCCATTCCATCACAGCATCTCCACCACCCCCCTTTTCTCCTCTTATACACCATCACTACCTCCTCCTCGCTTTCTCTTTCTGCGTCTCCATTCCTGCAACTCCCCCAGCTGGGCCCATGTGCCCTCTACCTCCATCCACGTGATGCTCTGGTAAATCTTCTGTACTTCTTGGGTTGCCTTCAAGGTCCTCCCCTAGACGGTTTCTGCCTGCTACAGCGTCCATCTCATCAACAATGGAAAAACTGAACCCAAAGCAGCCACAGGACTCTGCAAGCCTGAGCACAGCTGTGTCCAAGAGGAGATATCCTCGCCATCACTTGTGGACTTCCCTGCTGCAGGAGAGCCAGAGGCCAGTGTCTATGCTGGCCAGTGTCCTATCAAACTCAGCTACTTCCCACTCCTTAGAGGTGGAGAGAGTGAACAGGTATGGATTTCCAGTGCATCTTTTTGAGCTTCCATTATTTCTTCGACCTGTTTTTTGACCTTCAGGAAACCAGGGGTTCCCTTAAAAGGAATGCCATCTTAATGGCATTTTAAAGTCTTATTTTAAAATTTTTGCCATGTGGGCTGGAGATGGAGAGGTCCTGCAGCCCCCAAGGGCTTGCACCACCCTCTTAGCTCTCATGGCCTTTCCCTTTTCTTGTTTGTTTGTTTTGTTGTTGTTGTTGTTGTTTATGGTTGTTTTGTTTCTGTTTTTGAGATGGGATCTCACTTTGTCACCCAGGCTGGAGTGCAGTGGTGCTATCTCAGCTCACTGCAACCCCCACCTCCCAGGCTCAAGGGATCCCCCTACCTCAGCCTCTGAAGTAGCTGGGACCACAGGCATGTGCCATATGCCTGGCTAATTTTTTGTATTTTTGGTAGAGACAGGGTTTTGCCATGTTGCCCTGGCTGGTCTCGAACTCCCTGAGCTCAGGCAATCCACCCGCCTCGGCCTCCCAAAGTGTTGGGATTACAGGTGTGACCCACAGCACATGGTTGGCCTCTCCCTTTTCAACTGTGCACCTCTAGTCCAGAGCCTTGCATTTACTTCTCCACATTACTCCTCTGCATGGAGAAGAAAAGGAGCTCTTTGAGTTCTACCAAAAGTAGACAATCAAGTTCGGGGACCCAGCATTAGACTTTTCTGAGCCCTGTTTTTATTAGTTTGCTATTGCTCTTAACACTCTTTCATGTAAAGTCCCTCAGGGATGAGTATTAATTGGCACCTGCCTATTTTGGCATCTTCCTCAGCGACGGGAGACAACTCAGAAACAAAGAGCCAGCATTTCCAATGGCTGGACCTTTGTCAGCTCTCTAAGGACCCAAATGTTGAAAGAGATGGACCACAGAAAGGGCCTCTGAATCTGCAGGCCAGAACAGAGAAGTGGTAGGTGAGTTTTAACAGGGTTAGGAGTGAAATAAATCCAAGTCAGAAATAGGAAGAAGAGCCAGAACAGTGAGTGAGAACTGGGCTCAGTGAGGATTGCCAGTTGAGACGTTAAAGCGATGTTCTTCTTTGGCCATAAACTCTTCCGAACACTTTATATATATTAAGCCACTTATTCCCCACCAAAAAAACAGCAAGTTTGGTGCCATAATTATCACTCAGTTGAAGAAAGGGAGGTGCAGACAAATTAAGTAATTTGCCCAACATCACACAGCTAGTAAATGGCATTGTGGTGTCCCAATCTGCTTCATATTTTTTCAAAAATTTATGAAAATATACAAACTAATTCAAAGAATAGGTCAGTGATAACCTATTGCTCACTACTTAGCTCCAATAATTTTGCCAGATTTTTATCCACATATATGTGTGTGTGTGTGTGTGTGTGTGTGTTTATCTTTTTTTCCTGAAACATTTAAAGTTTCATAATACTTCACCCCTAAATACTGCAGTACATATATCCTTACAACAGGGTGTTCTACACAATATGATTTATTACACGTAAGGTATTGGAAAGTCTCTAGCATAATCCAATAGACAGTTCATATGCATATGTCCTCCATTGCTTAAAAAAAGGTACAAAGCTTTTAAAAGAACAGAAAAAAATTTCACACATTACATTTTAGCTTCTTTCTTCTTTCTTTGTTTCTTTTTCTTTCTTTCTCTCTTTTTCTTTCTATTTCTTCCTTCTGTCTTTCTTTCTTTTGAGATAGGGTCTCATTTTGTCGCTCAGGCTGGAGTGAAGTGGCACAGTCATGGTTCACTACATCTTCGACCTCCTGGGATCAAGTGATCGTCCCACCTCAACCTCTACAGTAGCTGGGATTACAGGCACACGACACCACGTCCAGCTTTTTTTTTTTTAATTTTGTGTAAAGATGGTGCCCAGACTGGTCTCAAACTCCTGGGCTCAAGCAATCCTCCCACCTTGGCCTCCTAAAGTGCTGGGATTACAGGTGTGAGCCATCAAACCTGGCCTTGTTTTTTTAGAGAAGAGCCCTTCCACCTCATTTTTTCATGACATCAGTTTTTTGAAGAGGCCAGGCCAGTTGACTTCTGCGTTGTCTGAGGCTTCTCTGAAAAGACTCACACTGATTCTCAAGTGCCTCACATACACATCTATCCAGAGCTGAGAATGGAACCACTTCTGTCTTCTGCCAAAACATCCACCCTTCCCCAATATGGCCTTCCCACAGCCCCTTGTAGACTATTATAATGTTTAATGTATACAGACTGATTGTCTATTTTAACAGCATCCAGCAGTTTCCTTAATTTGTATACCTGAGTTCTGGCATAAGGCCTGGCACAGGGTGGGCCCTCAGTGGATGATTTGATAAAACAAATGAGCCTAATCTCTCTTTTCAAATGCTTTTGAAAATTGCACTATAATATATATTCAGAAAATGCATAGATCTTAAGTGAACAGATCTAAGAACTGTTACAAACATGTGCTCTGTAATGGCCTGTATCAGGATAGAAAGCATTTACCAAACTTCCAGAATGCTGCCCCATACCCCTCCCCACCACCCACCCACAAGGGTAGCCACTGCCCTGACTTCTGTCATCATAGTTTAATTTTATCTGTTTTTCAATGAATAAATAATGTCATAAATAGACTCTTTAGTGTCTCCTTCTTTCACTCAAAATTATACCTGCAAGATCCATCTGTGTTGTCCCAGTATTGTTCATAATGCAGAAGTTCATTACTTTTTGCTGCTATGTAATATTCCATTGTAAAAATTAACCATAATTTATTTCTTGATATCTGTTTTTTTGTGTTATTTTTCTATTTTGAGGCTATTAGGAGTAATGCTTCTAGCAACCTTTTTATACTTGTCTCTGTTGAGTGCATATCTGTAGTATAATTTCTGGGACTTAGGGACACTGCATATTCTCGTTTAGTAAATACAATCAAACAGGTTTCCAAGGCGGATACTCTAATTTACACCAGCAGAAAGTTTGGGACAGCTCACTTATTCCACATCCTCTCCAATGCTGGGCATTGTTGTTAGGCTTTTTAATTTTACTCGTTTTGATGGGTATGTAAATGGCATATCATTCTGGTTTGAATTTGCGATTTTCCATGATCAACTTTGCTTATACTTATCGGCCATCTGTAAATTCTCCTTTGTCCAAGTATTTTGCCTTTGTTGAACATTAGGTTGACAGTGTTTTCCTTACTGATTTAAAGGACTTCTATATATACTAGATGCAAATGTTTTCTTCCTGTGTGGTTTACCTTCACACTCTCTTAATGCTATCTTACTGGCATTTTAAAGTCTTATTTTAAAATTTTTGCCTGACCTAGGGCCAAAAGGATATTTTCTACTTTTCGTTCTGGAAGTTTTATTGCTTTACTTTAACATATTTAGATTTGTGACCCATCTGGAATTCATTTTTGCCCCCTGTAGATATCCAATTATTACAGCACCATTTGTAGAAAAGACATTCTGGACTACAGTAGCAATTTTGTCATAAATCAGCAGACCACATATATATGGACCTATTCCTGGGCTGCCTATTTTGTTCTTTTGCTATGTTTGTCAATCATTACAATAATATCACTCTGACCCGACTACTGCAGCTTTATAATAAATCTTAACGTTTGGTAGCAAAAGTTCTTCAATTTTGCTCTTCTTCAAGCTCTTCTACACTATTCTCTGTCCTTTACATATTCACATACATTTTTAAATTGGCTTGTCAATTTCCACAGGAATACCTGCTAGAATTTTAATTGAGATTCCGTTGAATTTATGGTGAAACTAGAGATGATTTAACATATTTACAATATTTAATCTTCTAACTCATGAACATTTTGTATTTCCTCCATATACTTGGGTCTTTTAGAATCTGTATCTGTAATGTTTTATGACTTTATAAGTAAAAGCCTTATAGGCCTTTCATTAAATTTATTCCCAGTGATTATTTTGTATTCTATTTCAAATGGTGGTTTTTAAAAAATATCATACTCTAATTGTTTCTGCCTAGTATATAGAAGTACAATTTATTTTGACAGGCTGAGATTGTATGCTGCAATCTTGCAAAATTAAATTACTAATTCTAATGGCTTATTTGTTTACTTTTTGGTAAAAATAAAAAATAAACACATTTTTGCATATATCATGTCATCTGCAAATAATAACAGCTTTATTTTGTCCTTCTCAATTCTTGTGCCATTTATTTGCTTGCCTTATTGCACTAGATAACACCTTTAGTAAAATGTTGAGTAAAATAGGGACAGCAGAAATTCATGTCTTACTCCTAATTTGAGGGGGAGAGTTTTAACATTTCATCATTAAGTATAAAATTAGTCATAGAGTTGTTATCGATGACCTTTATTAGATAAAGGAAATTCCCTGTTATTTCTATTTTGCTTAGCCTTTCTATCATGAATCAATGTAAATTATATTACATATCTTAATGCACTTATTGAGATAATCACAATTCCCTCCATATTCTCATTTATTCAGTAAACTGTGTCATTGGAGATTCTAATATTTCTTCTTTTTTCTTTTGGTTCCACAGCATTTGGAATGATTTTCAATTGTTAAACCAGCCTTGCATTCTTGGAATAATTCCAACTTGGTTGTAATGTATTTTCCTTTTAATATGTTACTAGATTCTGGTTGCTCACATTTTGTTAAGAACTTTTGTACCTAAGTTCATGAGGAAGATAAAAAATAATTTTGTTGTAATGTCTTTGTCAGTTTTATTATTAAGGCTATTTAACCTCATGCCAGGTTGAGAACATGTTGGAAAATGTACATGATTCTTCTTTTTTATGCATGATGCAATTTAAGCTCACTTCTCTACAGTCCTTTTTTCTCTGAGGTCTTGGCTTCACAAATCCTGACTGCCTTAACAGCCTTAAATTCCAATTTTATGTTTACCTCAGCTGTAAGCCTTTGGTCTCTGCTCTGTGACATACATCATTAAGCACCCTGAGGAGAAATGTGGTGGCCACCATAGAGCTCACGTCTATCTGTTCCTTTTCTTTCAGGATCTTGGCCACTCAAATCTTGGCTGCCTTTCAACAGCTTTTTAAAATCTAGTTTTTTATCGTTGTTCCTGGCAGGCACGAGTTATTTATCATAACCAAAATAGGAAGTCTAATCTTCATCTTTAAAGTTGACATCAGATTGGACCATCTCTCATTGTTCCTTCCTTGGTAATAGAATATTGGGATAGCAGTACCCACAAGAACGACTTCGTGGTATAAGGCAAAGATATGAAGCAGTGATTGCATGAAGAGCATCTGTAGCCAAGCCTGGGCTTGGATTTCAGCTCTGCTACACCTAGACGTGTGAGTTTGAGAACTTTTCTACACTTCAGTACACACATTATAATACGGAATAACAACAGTATCTACCTCATAGGCTTATTGGGAAGACTAGACCTAGTGAAATAATATATCTGAAATAGGTACTCTGTGCCTTAAACGGGGTGATAAAATAAAGTGCTGGCTACCATTAAATTAATTTTTATTATTTGATTTCTGATGTGTCTCTTAATCACTTTTTATTAATATTTTACACAAATATAGAAAAGTCTAATGAGTTTATGCTTTTTCTTGTGTCTGGCAAATAGTAGGCACTCAACTATTCAATATTTGTTAAACAGGCTTAGTCGTGAAGGGATTTAACTCCACACATGGCTAGCAATGGTTTATTCAATTCCTTTGATTCCAAAATCATGATGATTTCCATCAGCAGTATTAAATCACAAACTTATCAGCTACTCTTCTTTAAACTGGGCATAATCTCAGTCACCGTAATCATTTTGAGACACCATCGACTGTTGTCACCTCCATCTCAAACAAAGCCAGGAAGAAGAAACCTAACGCTTTTTTTTTTTTTTTTTTTTTTTTTTTAGAAGGAATCTCGCTCTGTCACCCAGGCTGGAGTGCAGTGGTGCCATCTCGGCTCACTGCAACCTTCCCCTCCTGGGTTTCTGGGTCCAAGAGATTCTCCTGCCTCAACCTCCCGAGTAGATGGGATTACAGGTGCCTACCACCACACCCGCCTTTTTTTTTTTTTTTTTTTTTTTGGAATTTTTAGTTGAGATGGGATTTGCCATGTTGGCCGGGCTCATCTCAAACTCCTGACCTCAGGTGATCCACCTGCCTCAGCCTCCCAAAGTGCTGGGATTACAGGCGTGAGCCACTGTGCCTGGCCGAAACCTAACACTTCTAAGGAAAATTATGAAGCCCCTCTATCTCTAAGGTACACAGCTCTTCTAAAAAGAAATAATTTTATTGTGATTTTATACTGTATAGTCTTTAAGAAGAATAAATGTGTTTGGACAATAAGTTTTGTATGTAGCCCGGCAATGGAACCCATAGCTGAAAAGAACACTCAAATGGGAGAATTAGCCTCCCTTGCCCACCCAGCTGAGCCTATACTCACCCTCAGTACCTGTGAAATATTATTGCCCACCTGGCTGGAGCACAGACATGTCTTGGAACCTGGAGAATGAGACGAGAGCAATCTCTGAGGGTAGAAGATGAGATCTTTTTTTTGTGGAAGGGATGGGCTTTCCCCAGGCAGGTGATGTTTTGTCACACTTTGAGAGATTGGAGGTGGGATGTGCTGTTGTGCTGAGGACAGAAGGAAAGACCAGGTACCCTGCAGCTGGAGAGTCCCTGGGCACAGGGCAGCTCAGGATTTCACAGGTCTTGGAACATACCATTTAGGAGTCCTTATTAGAAAAAAGAATACAACACTAAAGATACAAAAATCAGCCTCAAAGGTGATCATTTATCTTGAATGCAGAAACTACAAAAATTTTTAAAAGTTGACCAACACCACAAATACACAGCAAATAACACTTTGATGACTTCATTATTTGGCATACTTCTCTTTTTGTTCACAGTTTTTTAATTTTGTTTGTTTGTCCAGTTATTGGCTAAATATCCTGGGATTTTGTAACATTTCCTGTAAAGAAATTAGGAAGGTAGTTCCATCTCTTCATTAGCAAGATAGTGTAAACCTTATCTTTTATTATTGAGAGTTTAGGAAATTTCATTTTGCTTCAAAAATTATTGTTGGTAATGTCATATGATTTTTTTGAGATTGTTACAGACCCCAGAAAACTAATATCTACTTTCTTTTTTTGTGTGAGTTGTTAGATTTGGAAGAATTTTCCAGGCTAGTATCTGACTTTGTACATTTCATCCCTTGTTCTCCCATTATGGTGCTAGGCTTCACAAGACGCCATTCCTGTGACGTCAGGCCATGCTCATTTGTAGGATGATGCTAGGAGACCCAGCATGTGGGGCAGCATGGCTAATCCTCCAAGCCACTCCTATGGGGCAGCTTCTAGTGACTATATATGGCAGCAATGGCAATGACACAAAAAATTTATATCGAGACAAACTAAATGTATTCTCAATGCAACTTTCCTCTCACTATTTCACAGATGTCCATGGCCACTCTATTCCCCCACCCCACCTCTCATGACAATCAGAGGGGATGTTGACAGGGAATAAAATGGAGTGGCAATAGAGACGGTCCTGCAACACTTGGAATGAAAATATCTTACTCCTACAAATTGAACAAAAAGCTACAAACACTTGAACACATTTCTAGTTCTCCTCCCAGGGTCATGTAAGGGAGGGGCCCTGAAGCTAAGGCTTTGTTTGTTTCTTGGCAAACACACCTCTGCCAGGACGCCACCATTTCTGCCTACACCCAGAGTCCAGGTGTATCTTTCCTTGTGTGTGGCAAAGAAGTTCTAAATTACCTGGGACTTCTTATTTTGCCTTTCTTAGCTTGTCTTTGCCTTCTGGAAACTCCTTCCTCATTCAGCAAAGAGCTTTACATGGACCCATGGGTTAGCCTTGTGGAGATGGAGGGTTTAGGGTAGGAAGAGGATGGAGCATTGTTCCTCCCCATGAGTTCCCAGCCTCCAGGGATAAAGGAGATTTTCAACCTATCAGGAGAACCAGAGCATGATATTATCAGTAGAACTGACTTTAGTGGACTCACCCTAGATCCCGCAGGAGTGTCCCAGAAGAAGGCATTAGTGGGGCTCACCTCTCTGCAAAGCTGGGATCTCAGCATGTGGTGGATTTGAAATATAACAAATGCATCTTCAATTGATGCCCCTTTCCATTGCACTCCCATACAGTCACCCTGAATCTGCCATGTGGCTCTCATGGTGTAGCCAAGAGAAGGAACTCAGAGTCTGATGCCAGTTGGCAAGGCAAGGAAAATGAAGTTATAGTCTCTGTCTGTACAAATTCTATAACTTTTTTTGTTTGGGTCATTGTTATGGTTAAAACACAAGTTGAATACTTCCCCCTCAAAATGGCCCCTGGCCAGTGACCCTTTGGCCAGTCCAATCTTGAATACAATTGCTTCCATTGCTAACCAGCGTGGAGGGTTGAGGAGATCAGCTACTGACTGTATCGCAGACTTCCCAGAATTTGGAGATTGGCTGCTGTCACTGTGAGAATGATTGAGGTCAAGTGAACATGGAAACCAAGGAATTAAGATAACCCAGGCACAAAGGTCTCGAAGAACAATGCACCCCTGTTCTTGATGTTTTTCTGAGGAATTTCCCCGTGCTGCACTGGACAGGGACCAGGTCCTTTCCTTGGTTACAAAGGCCCATTATCACAGGCAAAAGGCGGCATCCATGTGCCTTCCTGGAATTCTATGAAACTAAATGCCATGCTGGTGTGGTGTGTGTGTGTGTGTGTGTGTGTGTGTGTGTGTGTGTGTGCGCTTGCCCACATAGGTCAAACATTTGAAAAATGTCTTATGGCCTCATTCAAGATCACAGTTACTTAGATGTGCCTGCCTGATTCCAAAATGCATAGATATTCTGTGCCGCAGCTGGCTGTCCCATTACGGGAGATTGCCTAGACTGAGAGAAAATAATGGTCTTCTAGAACCACTGAGCTATGCAGACTATGTGATGAGTTGAAACAAAATACACCATCATAAGAATGGCTAACTGTTATTAAAGCCTATTGACACAGTGAATGATAGAATGTTCACGCTAGAAGAGATCTTACCATGAATCACAGATTCAGTTTCTAGCTACTGAGGATCTACTATGTGCCGTGCATTTTTCCACACACTAAGGATATAGAAATTAATGGGATAGATTATTTTCCCTCAGAAGTTTACATCCTAGGAGGGAAGACAGACAATTAGCAAGTAAATGAACAAGACATTTCTGATAATTATAAGTGCCACAATGGAAATAAAGTAGATGTACGGTAAAGAGTCACTGTGAGGGGTGGGAGGGCTTCTTCAGATAGGGCAGTCAGGAGAGGGCTCTGTGTTGACTATCGCTCCTACAGATCCACAGTCCACCTTCCCCGGCTAGCTCTGTGTCCCAGGAGGCAGATCTTCATTCAGTTCTTATGATGCATAAAATCCAATGATATCCAGTGTCAGAGAAAGACAGAGATGCATTATGAAAGCCCTGGTGAACACCAACAGTAGAATCCCTGTGGAGACCCGTAGGGTTTGGAGTGAGACCCCGCGCCTGATACTATATTCCCTTGGGGAACCAGCCACTCAACTGGAAGCAGGGTGTGAAGATATTCATATCTCATATAAATGCCCCCCCAAAAGTATCTGTAGTGGAGGAGGATACAGTCAAGCGGACAAAATGATACCATAAATGTCAGTCAGTTTCTTTTCCCATCTATGCTAGTGTTTGCTCAGAGGGCCCATGAACAAAGTGGCTCTCATGGCAGAGATGGAGAAAACACACGGGCTCAAAAACGTGGACTTCTCCTTACCAAGCCTCATCTGGCTAGTGCCCCAGCTGAAGACCTAAATTCTCAATAGCATTGAGTCCCTGACATGGTACCAGTTCCTCGGGAAACATGCCAGTCAAATGACAATAGATCAATTACCCTGGGGTCCCTTACATCATGGGGAGATCAACAATTGTTTCACAGCAACAGATACATATTCCGGATACAGATTTACCTTCCCTTCCTGAAGCAATTCTTCCAGCATTGCCATTCACAGGTTCATAGAATTTATTTACCCTCATCTTGGTATCCCTCACATAGCTTCTGCCAGCAAAGGAAGTGGGGCAATGAGAACTTATACACAAGAGACTGTGTTTGATCCTTTATATGGATTAATCTACATCTCAATCTCATGATATAGGAACTATTTTGCGCCTTTTGTAACTGTGGAAACTGAGACTTGGGGAGGTTAAAAAAAACTTGTCACAAATGATCAGCTAGCTTGTGACATAACTAGGACTAAAATCTAGATTTTTCTGGCCAAAAAGTCTGTGTTAAAAAAAAAACACTGCATTTATTGGAGAGATGGCTGATTCCAGGGTTGGGAGAGGGAAAACAAGATGAGCCAGAAACATCTTAAAATCCCAGTACGGAAGGTAGTACCCTCTTCCCCTCCAATAAAAGGAGGAGGGAAGGAAGGAAAGAAAAAAGGAAGGAAAAAGGAAGGAAGGAAGGAGAAAATGAAGGAGAGAAGAAGAGGAAGAAAGAGGGAGGGAGGGAAGAGGGAAGGAGATAGGTGGGGCTTGTCCAAGGGACACAGGATCCAACCCTTTGTTCAGCCCTGGAACAAAGCTGGAAGAATTTGAGCAACAAAATAAAAAACAATCATATTTGATTGTAACTCAAATAATAAAACAAATACCCATGAGCTGTACTGATATAAACAATTGATCAAAGAAATAAACACATGGAGGAGAATAGATAAATCTTTCTTACAGAATTCCAAATAATGTTTGTAGATTCTCCCTTTCCCAAAGGCTTGATATCATGCATTCCCTAGTATGGAACAAAGAAAAGGGCACTTCATGTCTGTGGTTTCTTCCCCCAAAGCCCTTGACCCCAGTCTAATGATGAAAGAACATCCAACAAACCCAAATGGAGGGACATTGTGCAAAATCTCTGACCAGCTGTCTTCATAACTGTCAAGGTCATGGGAACCAAGGAAAGGCTGAGAACCTATCACAGAATTGAGGAGACTTCGGAGACACAACAAATGCAATGTGGTGTCTTGGACTGGATCCTGGAACAAAAAAAACCCGACATGTGTAGAAAAACTAGCAAAATAATATCTGTAATCTAGTTAATACTACTGAAACGATGTGAATTTCTTTGTTTTAAAAAACATGCTGTGGTTATGTGTGATGTTAACACTTGAAAAAGCTGGGTGAAAGGTGTATGGGAATTCTCTGTACTGACCGTGCAACTTTTCTGTAAATCTAAAAGTATTACAAAGTAAAAAGTGTAACAGTTTCAAAAAACATAGAAAACAGAACACTGTATTAGACCACCTTTGAGTCATGGTATTTGACAGAACTTGCCTGGGTATTTTCCACTTGGGAACATTTAGTTGTAGGCCATGGAAAATTTGCCTCTCTGCCCAATAGAGAAAATAAGGAAAGAAAAAAAGGAGACATGTAAGGAGTTGATTAATTCTCCAGTTTTAAAGATTACTCCAAAGACACTGTACTTTTTTTTTTTTTTTGAGACGAAGTCTCGCTCTGTCACCCAGGCTGGACTGCAGTGGCGCGATCTCAGCTCACTGCAAGCTCTGCCTCCCGGGTTCATGCCATTCTCCTGCCTCAGCCTCCCGAGTAGCTGGAACTACAGGTGCCCGCTACCACGCCCGGCTAATTTTTTGTATTTTTAGGACGGACGGGGTTTCGCCGTGTTAGCCAGGATGGTGTCGATCTCCTGACCTCGTGATCCGCCCGCCTCGGCCTCCCAAAGTGCTGGGATTACAGGCGTGAGCCACCGCGCCCGGCTGAGACTGTACTTTTAACAAACAATTTAATAAACTCAGTGACTCTATCATTAACTATCAGTTCAGTTGTTGAATTTTTCTCTATGTATCCATAAAAATTACGGGTCTTACATCTTGTGATGAAATCTCCCACTTCACCAAAAAAATAGTGCACCCGGCTTGATGAATAGTCACTGGTATAAATCATTTGAGACAATCAGAAGTTTCATTATGCATTTGCCTGAAAAATTGGCCTCTTTGGTGAATATTTTTAATGTATTTCTCAAATCTGTCTTCACTGCACCACATCAGGCTGGAAAATCAATATAGACAGTAACTGGAGGCAGCAAAAAAGGAGATGAAGTAGTAGCTACTGAGAAGTAAAACTGAGGCAGCTGGTCACAAGCCACAGTAGGACTCACGTCTCTTCATTGTAGTTGGCATTTAATAATTGCACATTTATTGAACACCTACTTCTGAAATGCATAGAAATAACCACCTTCATGTGCCAGGACTAAATGGTCATTATTTTATTACCAACCCTACATAATAGTCATTATTATCCCCAGTGTTAGAGGTAAAGTGATTGAGGCTCAGAAGCATTAAGTCACATTGTCAGCTGGGCATCAAATTAGATTTCCTTGGCTTCAGACCTCCAGCTTATTCACAGGGAGCAGAGCTGTGCTTACACGGGCAACACGGCACGGAGCCTACACCCCCAGCAAAGCAAATGAGAGCTCGGAGGCCATGACTTAAACAAACCATTTTTTAAAAAACATGGAAGAATCTGTTAAGCAACATTTGGTTGTTAGTTAACTCAAATTGTCCCTGTTTTTTTTTGTTGTTGTTGTTTGTTTGGTTTTTTTTTCCTGCAAAGGTATGCTCTGAGCTCCAGGTAAACTTGGACGGAAGAGAGGGTTCTCAACAGAGGAGCCACCTGTTCAAGGTATAAGCCAGGAAGACATCTTTTTAGATTTTTTTCCCCTCAAGTCATAAGAAACGTTTTTACTTTTCAAAGGCAGTAACAAAAATGGATCTATGTGATAAGAGAAAACAGTCTCTTGAGCAAAAGCACAAACAGCAGTTTCAGTGCAAAGCTACAGCAGCTTTCCCCCAAGGAAACATTAAACACACATACTAAGGGGCGGGGCTGGGCTGAGTACGCAGCAGCCTACACAGCAGACGGGATCAGAGTCACAATCCAATGGAGCACGCTCCAGAATTAAAAGCAGAACTCCAGCAGGCAGAGGGGAAAGACACTGGATGATATGGTTTAGCTGTGTCCCCAGATCTCATCCTGAGCTGTAGCTCCCATAATTCCCACGTGTTGTGGGAGGGACCCGGTAGGAGATAATTGAATCATGGGAGCGGTTTCCCCCATACTGTTCTCATGGTAGTAAGTCTCTTGAGATCTGATGATTTTATAAGGTGGTTTCCCCTTTCATTGGGCTCTCATTCTCTCTTGCCTGCCACCATATAAGACGTGCTTTTCACCTTCTGCCGTGATTGTGAAGCCTCCCCAGCTACGTGGAACTGAGCCTGTTAAACCTCTTTTCCTTTACAAATTGCCCAGTCTCGGGTATGTCTTTATCAACAGTGAGTGAAAACGGACTAATACACTAGATGACCAAACTTCAGCTCTATTATAGAAATATATATATGTATGTATATAGTTTGTATATTTTATACCTATATGTAACTAAATTTATAAATACTAAATATAAAACTATATTTAAATAAATATATAAATTATATCTAAAATATACTAATTCAAAATATAAAATAAGGCATATTGTGTTAAATAACAATTTTAATTTCAAAATGAATCAACAGGCTCATCTTTTATTTTTTTAACTGGGAGTTCAGAGGTAGTTAGTAAGATGAGGGGGTATCCCCAAACTAGATAAGAAAATCCCTCAGAGCAATAGTGAATAATTGGGGTGGAGGGGTTCTGACTCCTTTGAGAATCTTATGAAAGCCATAAAACATTTTCCATGAAAATGAACATATACCCATTGATGCGAGTTTTCTTTCTGGGTGGTCCATGAACCCCTGGTGTTGATCCCTATGGAGAGTCCAAGGGCAGCCTAAGCCTTCTGTCATGTTCATTTCCCAAGCAGCAAAAGAGAGGGACAAACCATCAAGATTTCTAAAAACCAGTTTATAAATGTTTGTTGAAGGAGCTCTGAGTTTATCTATTTGTATACATAGGGTTGATTTCTATGCCTCCCAATTTCCAGATAATGTTCCAGATATACATGCCCCAAATAATTGAAGTCAGACAGATAATAAAAGAGCAGAACAGAACAGGGATCAAACACTCTTACCCTTTGGTGCATTAGCAAGAGACTCCCAAAGCTTAGAAACTGATGGACATCAGCCAAACTTGACAGGCTAATGAATCTGGTCCACACAGGCATGGCCAGGAGAGCCAGAATGTTGCTCCGGCCCTCTCTGGTGCACATCTGGGGCAGAATTGAAACAGGCGAATGATGGTGTTGGAGCTGAGGTCATGGAAGCCATGTGCCAAGCCCAGGGGGTGATCCCAAGTACAGAATGGAACTGTGTCATGTGCACATTTCAGTCTCATTAATTCAATGACATAGCCTAGGGAAATAAACGAAAACGCCCACGTAAGAGCAAGATAAGAGGTAAATAATTGAAACAGTGTAGACCATGAGGCCATGCCACTCAACAAGCACATGCCAAATGGCGGTGGACACAACGCTGCTGCTGGCAAATCATAAAGGACAAGCAAGAACATGTGAAGGATGTTAAGGATTTCTCAGCCACTGACAAGGAAGCAAGCCTGTGGCTCAGTGGAACCAACAAGTGAGTGTTCAAGGAAGCAAAGTGGAATTGAGGACCTGGTCCGCAAAGAAACATTAACCACTGGTGAACTAGACAAATGTATGAAATCATATGCAAAAGATTGAAACGCCTAGATATTTTCTTTGGTAGTTGGTGGGAGAGGTATATTGGGTGAGTACTCTCCCTCATAAAAATGGGCTGCACAATATTGATTCTTGGAAGAAAACTAAAAACATTTTTTAACAAAGAGATATGACTACAAACTTGGAGTCACTAGCCACTGTATTCCTGGATCAGTCTTGTACATATGTAGTCAGATTATATATTTGTTGAACGCTCCTAGGTTGTTGTCACTGACAGATAATAGAGTACTGACTAAAGTGGATCTTATGGTACACTTGACCTTAAGCAAGAGAAATCAAAGTGGGAAGGCATCATCCACATTAAATACTACCTGAGCTCCACAGGTGTCTCGTGGGTGTATGAATTGCACATGGGAGAGATTGTTCCAGACCACACACTGTCTGTCACCATAACTGATTGAACTATTTCCATGAAAGACTGTGGTCCTAACCCATAAGGAAAAAGTTTATGCCTCACATAACGCTTCATCTCTCAACACATCCTTGAAATTACTTACCAAAAAGTCTTCCAAGGGGCTTTGCACTTGTTATCAACCATAAAACCTCAAAGGAAGTCAAATTATCCCAGAAAAGTCAGAGGACATGAGGTAGCCATTTCACTGACTTCAAAAGCAAGTGAAAATTATTGTATTAAATATCAAATGCAAATCACAGGCAGGAGATGATAATGCGGGAAAAATAATTCCTCCTCTCATTGTGACCTACCTTAGAACTGCATTTGTAGATATAATGGTCTATAAAATCCTGTTATTACACCTGCAAAATTGCTAGAAAAAGTTTTCACTCTTATTCATACAGTACAATATACCTTACAGTTCCCAATATACCTTAACACATACTGTCTCTTGCCGTAGAGTGAACTCGGATGCAGAATATCACAGTGAGGAAATGGAGGTTCAGAAGGTTAAGTGAACTATCCAGGTTCAGGCTTGGAATGGGGATAGCTATTTGGCCATAATGGTAAGAAACCAAATTTAGCCACTAATAACACCCTGTTCTGAGCTGCAAAAGAAAAGTAACAACTGTTTGGCGTCTGTTTTCTTGGGGTAACAGCTTGCAAGTTTCTGAAAGAACAACTTGCTATTAGGGCACTGGCTCCTCAAATTCCATTATTAATCCAGGATGAATGGATGCCCAGTTTTGTAGGCTTCTCTGGAAATGATACTGGCTCTCTGCCCTTTCCTACATCCCCGCCCCCAATTCAGAACTGCTGTTTTGTTGTTTTTAATTGCCTTTCCTTTATTTATTCTTTATAAAGCCCCTCCAATTCTAACATCCCAAGCTATTTGAAATACAAATGCAGGAGGATTTGTCATGTCCGTAAACATGCTGTGTGACTGTATCTACCTCTGGAAGATACTGCAAATGCATGTTAGTCTTCAGTGCCTTTGCTCCTGGAATTCTCTCATTATAGAAAACCAAAAATGGCAGAATGGCTTATTTTGCCTGCAATTTAGGCAACCTTCTATCTATCCTAGTATAATAATAATGTCTCTGGAACTCAATATTATATTCAAACCACCAGCTCCCTCACTTAGTTGGTGGCTTTGAAAACTAGAATAGAGGAACAACTTCAAGTTTAAAGAAGAAAATAAGCACTGATCTCATAAAATAATTCTAACTTCATGAAAGTTATAATTCTAGTCCAAATGTTTCATGCCCAGTAGGCCCTCCTCTGCCTTCCAAATTGGAACTAAATCCACTCTAATCTTCCGTACTCAGACAGAGGACAACTTTCTACCTATGAATCTTGCTATCAGAGTAAAATGTTGTTAAAAATTTCTCATCCACATGATGGAATATTATGCACACATGCAAGTGGTGTTTTCAAATCATTCATAATGTCATGGAAAGGAAATAAACAAGATATTAAACCACATATGTTCTCTAATCTCATTGACATGAAATATGTAATATGTAATGTAGTTTATAGTTTAAATGGCTGGAAAGAAATACATAAAATATTCATAACAATGGTCTCTGTTCTACAATGATGATTGACTTTTGTGTTCTTTAGCTTTTCCTTTTTTATGTCTGTCACTTCATTTATTTTATTTAATTAATTTACTTATTTACAGGAGGATTTGAAACAAATTTTAAGAAATTTTTCCTCTTTTTTCCTCAGACATGAATCATTCAAGTGAAACCAACTTAACTACAGAAATGTAAAGAAGTAAGGAGAGAGATGCAGTCCACATGTGTTTTAAGGGGCTGCATGCTCAGGACTGCCTGCCTAGAAGGCAAGCACAAAGACCCTTTTAAGAGGATATTTTTCTCCCCAAATATCTACAGATGTTTCAACTTAGAGCTTAAAGGTTTTTTTTGTTTTTTGTTTTTTGTTTTTTTAAAAAAAAGGTGCAAAGGTGGCCGGGTGCGGTGGCTCACGCCTGTCATACCAGCACTTTGGGATCTGCCAACTTGGGCAGATCACCTGAGGTCAGGAGTTCGAGACCAGCCTGGCCAACATGGCGAAACCCCGCCTCTACTAAAAATACAAAAATCAGCCAGGTATGGTGGTGGGTGCCTGTAATCCCAGCTACTCAGGAGGCTAAGGCTGGAGAATCGCTTGAACCCAGGAGGTGGAGGTTGCAGTGAGCCGAGATCATGCCATTGTACTCTAGCCTGGGCAACAAGAGCAAAACTCTGTGGAAAAAAAAAAAAAAAGGAGGGGGAGAAAAAAATTAACAAAAACAACAACAAAAAAACCCCACACAAACCACTCACTCCTAATTACCTTCCTTAACTGATTATGGTTGTTACAAATTTTACCAAAAGATTAATGAAAATATTGAAAAAAATTATTTTCTCACCTTACATTTGTAAAGATAATAGAATTTAGGAGTTTCTCAGAAAATAGACCAGAAACTGCCTTCAAGTTTCCAGACTAGAAAGTCTGGGACAGTGGAGATGCAGGTGGAGAATGGGAAGCCCAGCCCAGGAGAAATCAGAAAATATGGGACTGGGGTGTGGTCGGGAGCTGCTCCACAGGAGACGTGGCTGTGTGAGAAAGGGGAACACGAGGTAGTCAGAAAGACCTTAACTCCCCGCTGACATACCGACACTGGCTTTCACAAGGATTCCAGCAGTTTGGCTCCAAACTGAGGTGAACGCTTCAATGCTTATTCACATGCTTTCATTCCCATTGTTTATTCACATTGTTTTTTTCACAAAGACTCAAGTTGCCCAAATTAAATATTTCTTCTAATGTGACTACACATGCCTAAAAAGTGGGGTGAGGTGGCGGGTGCTTTTAAAATCAAGATGGGAATGAGATTAAAAATCATCAAATTAATCCTTTTAGCTCCAGATGAAATGAAATTAAGCACAGAATTATTGGTTTCTAATAGGAAATAACCCGAAATCTAAACATCAGTTTCCCTTCCTGCCCTAGTCTCTACCCTTCACATAGAGAAGAAATGAGAAACTCAGCTAAAGCCCAGTGTGTTTTGTTCTGTTGAAGAGCAGAGCTTCACCCCAGGCTCTGTGGCCGGCCTCTCCTGTCCAGTGGGATGCAGCACGTGGGATACTTTCGGCTGTAGTAGGATTCCGCAAGGCAGGTGGGGTTGAGCATAAGATCTTCAGAGTCTCCTTGAGGCTCCTCTGTTAGCTCCTCACCCGCCATCTTCCTAGCACTTCTCTCCCCTAGGCAAGGGCTCCTGTCAAAAGCAGCCCCCACTGAGTTGTGGGCTATAAGTTATCCTAGGTTCTCTGTCCCACTCTCATTATCTTCAGTCTCCCCTTCCTCCCCACTGAACTTGTCATGGGCCCTTCTGGGGCTGGGGCTAGACTTCTGAAACATGAACCTCCCCAGCCTTGGCCCTGGCTCTGGCTCACCCACTTCTCTCTGCCTTCAACTTCACAGTCATTGTGTGAGTAACACTTCTTGCTTTTGAGTGTATACTCTGGGTTCCACTGCTAGTCCTGGTTTCTCTTTTGAAAATCATTGTTGCTACTGTCATTCCAGAGTAACTGACTCTTCCCAAGCCACTCCCCCTGGCTGGAAATGGGAAGGCCCCTCGAGCTCTGCTGCTCCTCTTTCTCTTGGACCCACAAAGTTTTGGTCCCCAGTCTCAATTTTTCAAAGCCCAGGTGCTCTTCTTTCCCTCCTCTGTTTCTTCAGTGCACACTTCTGCTTTGCAAGAGTGAGATGCCTGGGAGGAAGGGGATGATGACCTGGGCCAGTCTGTGTTCTGACAGCTTTTCCAGTTTGATCCCTTGAGTTTTCTCTGTTTTCTCAGCTGATCTTTCCCTTAAGTGGCTTGAGTCTCGGAAATCCACTGATTCTCTTGATTTACCTCTTTTAAGCTCTTTCTCCTTATGTTTTTTACCATGTTCAATATCAAGGTGAAGATCAATGGGATCTTCTTTTTATTTTCCTCTGGCCTTGAAGCCAAGTTGCTGGGGAATTCTCATTTCATCATGAGCCAGGCCATGCTTTTTGAATGTGTTGAGGGAAATGTCTAACCTCCTGTGTATCTCTGGGCTTTTCTTGTTTTTAGCTGCATCCTGCTCGGTTTAGGTATTTAGTAAAGCATTCATACAATGTCATCCTGAGGAGTGAAAGTGATGCTCCACAACATGGTGAACAAGGGTCACTATCTGCTGGGCAAACAATTCTGAGGGGCTACACTGAGACTGAGCTGACTGTATGTGCTGGAAAATGGGACAAAATTTCTGTTCCTTTTTGTTGCTGTGAACTAAATCCTGACAAAGCTTGTGTTCCTGAGCCAAAAATCCACTGGGTCATGCAAGGTCCTCATCAAAAGATTCCATCCAGACATTGACCTGTGTCTCTTGAATAATCACAAAGAAAGACTTTCCTGTGGGCAAGTCTTCTTTGGCTCCCATGTGTTCTTTTTTTTTTTTTTTAATTCTTCTTCTTCATTCCCTTAGGTTTCTGCAATAATCACATATTGCTTATTTTAGAAAAATATTTTTTCTTCAAGCAACCCTTCCTGTGTTATAGCAATAATGTGTCAATTTGCATTCCTACAACTATATACTTCAGTGTTCAGCTTACTCTATGCTCAGAATTTACTCTATACATTTTCCTCTAGCCCTCTTCCTTTCCCACTCTATACTCTTCCTAGTCAAGCTTTTCCACTCCCATTGCTTCAGTTACAATCTATATATTGATAACTCCCAAACATATATGGCATATCCCAGACTTCT